>NC_000003.12:127038907-127190422 GCF_000001405.40 Homo sapiens
TGACTTCAGACTTCCCACCTGGACCCCAGAGCAGCCACAGCTCAAGAGCAAACACAGGCTCTGAGCAGAAATAAAAAGTAACAGGCCAGGCTAAAACCTGATACAGTGACTATAGATGGTGTCTTGCCCTGAAGAAAACTGGTGGCATGGGAGGGTGCCCACCTGGCCAAGTGGGCAGGGAAGGCCTGAGGAGGGATGGAGGAATCGAGGCTTGAGAAACAAGGAGCCAGCTGAGGTGACATCGGAGAGAGCATTCCCTG
Organism: Homo sapiens; assembly: GCF_000001405.40. Lineage (NCBI taxonomy): Eukaryota > Metazoa > Chordata > Mammalia > Primates > Hominidae > Homo > Homo sapiens. The sequence continues at coordinate 127,039,168 of NC_000003.12, forward strand.
TGTCCAGAGCAATGGAAGAGGCCAGGTCAGCTCTGTGCAGGGAGGTGCAGGAGGTGCTGTGCCTTGGGGAGCGAGGAGGGTGGGCTCTGATTCGCGCGTCTGGCAGTCGCGGGACAAGGCCAGAGGAGGCTGGAGACCAAGAGGCTCCTGCAGGTATCCCCAGGGCCCGTGGCCCGTGGCACCCCTTTGGGGCCTTCCTGGAGAGCCATCAGCCCTGATGGTGGAGCTTTGGGGGCAGATGTGTTCTTTCTGAGGACAACAGTCATGGAGTTGTCGGTGGAAGTGACTTGGGTCATATCCAGGCTGAGCCTCTAGTCCTGGAGCAGAGCCTCCAGCCAGCCTGCACTGGGCACATAGGCAGGTGCACCATAGACCTTTGGGGAATGGGACACGGATGCTGGGGAGTGGTTTCTGCAGCATACAAGGCTGCCGGGCTGCAAGTCAGTACCAGGACCAGCCCCATTGTAGAGGGGAGAACCTGGGAGCAGAGAGGTAAAGTCACTACCCTCAAGGACACACCGTTACCCATGGTGGGACCAGGATTCAAACTCAGACTCTCTACTTCATGCTGCAGCACTCCTCTAGTGGTCTCCATGCTGGAGACTCCTTGAGGACAACACCAGGGCCTGATACCCAGAGTCTGGACACAGAGCAGAGGGGCGTGAGCAGCTGGCAGTGAGCAATGCCCTGGGGCCTCGGGAACTTTGAGGAAAGCATGTTCTCAGGAGCATTTCCCCTGTAGCCGCCTTGTAGATGCCGTCAGCCCCTTGAGTCTGCCCCCATGGCTGGGAGACTCACGCACTCTGCCCAGCGTGGGGTCTGTTTGAGAGATGGGCGTTCCAGCCATCGTTGCTGCATCCGGCTAAAACCACCCTGAGAAGCACCTGAGCACATGTTCCCTGCTGGGTGCCCCCCTGCATTAGAAATGATAGAAACTTAAGCTGGCTGAAGCAAGAAAGGGAACTAGCAGGCTCTTGAAATCAAAAAGTCCAAGGGTGCATCTACCTCAGGCATGGCTGGATCCAGGGGCTCCTGGAGGTCATGAGAAGTCTGTCCTCCTTCTCTGTCCTCTGTAAGGGCTTCATTCTCAGGCCAGCTCTTCCTAAGTGGGGGGCAGCGATGACCACCAGAGGCTCTAGGTCTACCAGCTGAGCAGTCCTGGTGAAAACAGGACACCCTTGGTCATCACGCACATCCAGGTAGGGATTTCATTGGCCAATGTTTGGGGCAATGTCTTGATTTGCTATTTGAACCAGTCATTCTGGCCTAAAGGATGAGGTACTCTGATTGGTAGGCCCAGGCCACATGCCAGAGGAGGGATTAGTCCATTTGAACAGCAGGGTTTTGCAGATTGTGGAGAAGTGCGCAGGTGGAGGGGAGGGTCTCCCCACTGCTGGTGGGGAAGGAAAATCATACAGTTCCTGTGGACGAGGTGTGGCAGCTCCTGAAAAGTTAAGTATAGAATCACCATGTGACCCAGCAACCCCGCCTCTGGGTGAACACACAAAAGAATGGAGAGCAGTGCCTCAGAGACACTTCCACACCCACGTTCACAGCAGCACTATTCACAGAGCCAGAAGGTGGAGGCACCCCAAGCATCCATCGACAGGTGAATGGACAAAAAGTGGTGCATCCAAACAATGGAATCCCATTCAGCCTTTGAAAGGAAGGAAATTCTCACGCATGCGACGACATGGGTGAACTTGAAACAAGCCAAGCACAAAAAGGCAAATACTGTATGATTCCACTTTTGTGAGGTCCCTAGAGGTCCCTAGGTAGTCACAGTCATAGAGATGAAGATAGAATGGTGGGCGCCAGAGGCTGCAGGAGGAGAGATGGGAGTTAAGAGTTGGATGGGGACAGAGCTTCAGTGGAGAAGATGAACGTTCTAAGACGGATGGTGGTGATAGCTGCAGAGCAATGGGAATGCTCCTAGTGCCGCTGAGCTGCGCACTTACAAATAGTTAAGATGTTATATTTTATGTTACGTGTGTTTTCCCACATTTAAAATTAATAATAAAGTTTTTAAAAAAGAGTTTGAGTTTCACTGTGTGGACGCGAATGCCACAGACTGTCCTCAAGCAGGAGACACGCATCATCAGCTGCAGCGATGCTGGCGCCCCAGACTCCCTGCAGCCCCGGCCTCTCCTTGCTCACTGCCCTAGGGACGCTGGCATCTCTGGCTGCTGCTCACAATGTCCAGGGCAGAGCCTCTCATCTCCCTGCCATGCCCCATCACGGGCTCCCCATCTTGGCAAAGCCACCTCCATATGGAACCCTCCCAACCCTGCAGAAGCTCCTGCCCCACCAAGCAGCCCCGCCTGGGTGACCTGCCACATGCTGTCTATGGCAGGCCTGTCCCTCGCTGGGCTGCAGTCACAGGCAGCAGGGCTACTCCAGGATCAGCACCATGGCCTCCACCCCAGGCAGGGCCAGGACGGAGAAGGAGCTCAGGACGTTCAGAATCCCAGACAGCACGGGTCCTGTCGGCTGTGCCCCTGCCCAGGGATGTCCCCAACTCTCTCCGAATCTGTGCCTCTGCTCAGAATCTCAGGTTCCAGTTTCCACCTTACAACTCATTGCTCCCAGGTGAACGTTCCTGAAGCCCAGCTTTGACAAATACCTCTTTCCTTTGTTTATGAGACTGTTTGTATTTTTTCTAATGGATAGACATTTTCTCCTTACATAACCACTGTGTCATTATCACACTAACAAAATGAATGTTTGCATATTCCAATGTCCTTAACTATCTCCAACCTGAATTTTCACAGAGGGGTTGCTTGGATTTGGACAAGGCCCCCTGTTACGCTTGGTTTTCTGTCTCTCCTCTTTGGATCCCACGCCCTCCCCTTCTGTTTTCCAGCCGTTTTAATTGCAGAGCCAGGTCATGTGTCTGAAGACTTGGACACAGCGGGCTTGGGTGGTGTTTGACAAGTGGCTCCATCCCTGTTTGCTGGGTTGCAGGTTCAATCTCCCAGCAGGCAGTGCTCCCTGCCACACCTGCCAGGAGGCCCTGGTGAAGTCAGGCTGATCAGGAGTTTGGGGCACAGCCTTGGCCTGCCCTCGCCTTGGTATCTCTCACTCCATGCACCCAGGTCTTCCGTCTACCTGGACTTTTTCTCTGAAAACACTCTCCTCTTTCGACCGGAAGAAATTATTCAAATGGAAAACTTGATGGCACTAAGTGGTTACCGTGAATGGGACAGAACCATTCCTAATAGAAGAGGTCTATACAAATAACTACAATAGAGGTAAAAATAATCTTAAATTCTAGCAAAAAGCTGTTGCTCACGTAAAGGCTTTCCTCTGATCAATGGCGAGATGCTAGTGAGATGCTGAAGACCCTGGTGGGGCTCTGTTCTTGGTGCGTGGATCTCTGGGCTACATTCTACCTGCCGGCTCAGGGGTCTTTCTCTGGTCTACCCTTCTCTCTCTGCGGACATGTGACCTTGCAAAGTCCACTTCCCAGCCCCCTCCACTGGCTGCCTGGAGTGAGGTTGGGTGGGAGAGAGGAGCCGTTCTCGGCTCCCCTGGCCCTCCCTTGGGGTGGGCATCCTCCTTTGTGCTGGCCTGTGCCGGTGACAGCCCCTCCTCCCCCTGCCCCTCTGGCCTGGGTGAGTATGGCTTCCGGCTGCGCCATCCCTTTGGGGTGCCCTGTGTTGGTGACTGGATGTGTCAACTTGCCTGGGCCTCGGGTGCCCAGATACGTGGCCAGGCCTTGTCCTAGTGCTTCTGAGGACGTTTCTGGATGCGATGAGCGTTTGGGTGGAGACTGAGTGAACCAGACCGCCCTCCCCAGGGCAGGTGCGCCTCCTACATCAGGTGAGGGCCTGGAGAGAACAAAAGCTTGACCCTCCTCAGAGGAAGAGAATTTCTTCTGCCTGACAGCTTTTGGGCTGAGACACGGGTCAGACTCGAACTGAAACATGGACTCTTCCTGAGTCCCAAGCCGGCCAGCCTCCTGGCTCCACTCACGCTCGCCCTGCAGGCCCCGGGACTTACCCTCCATGAAACCACAGGCCAACTCAGAACGATCACCTGTCTGTCTATCTACAGCTACTGAGAACCCTGACGCATTTCCCTCTGCAGATCAGCTTTCCTTCCCCCAGATGCTGCCTGCGGTGGGGGGTCCTACCTGAGGCTCTCACCAACCACCCAGACGCTGCCTGGTGTGAGCGGAGCTGGGCCCAGCCTGCCCTGTGCATTCGCTTTCCCCTGCCATGCACTCCCCGGCACTTTTTCTCCTTTGTTCCACGTGGCTGAGCCTGCCCAGTGGCTTCCACCCCTCCCAGTGGGGCTCTGAGTGGGGCTCACCTCCTCTGGGCCTGGTTTCTCAGACAACTTGGCACCCGCAGGTGTGCGACATTCCTGTCATTCTTTGCGCATTTGCCAGCCTGAAAGGCTGGAGGGAGGGTGCAAAAACAGTTTTAAGTCCAAGAAAGAGAGCCAGAAGTCCTCTTGTCTCTTAGTGAAACAAATTCCTTAAAAAGTAGTTTTCAAGACGCAAATTCCTTTTTAAATGATCAGTCCATGAGAACAGAAGGAGCAGGCCTGGCCAGGGATCCTTGTCTTGCGGCCTGTGCCTCCTGTGATTCGGAGCAAGTCTCTGTCTCTTTCTCAGCCTCAGTTTCTCCACTGTAAAATGAAGGAACAATTATAATGGCCAGTGCCCTCCCCTGCAGGGTGGGGTGGAACTGTGTGATGATTTCGTGCCCTCTAAACCCATGTTTCCTGGAGGGTGGATGCCACCTGGGACAAAGAAGCCCTCATTCCTCCTGGCCACAGGCCATTGCGACAGAGGGAATGGGGGTCGCCCAACCCTTCTGCTGCCTCATCTGTCAAAAGCAAAGCTTTGATGGGAAGAAACTCAGTTAACCCTCTACATCTGGCAGGGTCAAGAGTCATGGTGAGGGAGGCCCCGGCTCTCCTGATGGGACTGAGAAAGGTGGGTGTGAAGGAGAGGCCTGCTTTCTCCCCTAAGAGACAGCACCCCTTGTCTCCTGTGGAGGGGTTAGTGACCCAGAAATTGCCTATGGCTCCTCAAGGGGTAGAGAAGTGCTGAGAAGCCTGCCAGTACAGCAGGGCCTGGAGTCAGGAGCAGGCTGCTGGGCGGGGCTGCAGAGCCAGCACACATCTAGAAGCCAGGGGCATTCAGGGCTGAGAAGCAGAGGGGAGAGACAACTCCAGGGAGTACCAAATACACTCTAGTCTATGCTGATGTCATCCCATGGAGTTGTGCAGTGCACAACCCACACAGCTGTACATGGTGGCCCTGAGTGTGCTAAGGCACTCCCACAGCAGGCCCACAGAGCTGACCTCCCCTTCCCTACTGCCAAGAAGACCTGGGAGCTTTGCATTAGCCCCCAGTGTCATCTTGGGAAGAAGGAAGAAAAGGGAGAAAGATCCTGATAGGAAGTTTAACAGAGACCAGAACTTACCATTTTCCCACAAGAGACTATGAAAACAAGAGAGATCATTTAAATAGCACTAGATTAAGCTATTTTCTTTTTTTTTTTTGAGACGGAGTCTCGCTCTGTCACCCAGGCTGGAGTGCAGTGGCGGGATCTCGGCTCACTGCAAGCTCCGCCTCCCGGGTTCACGCCATTCTCCTTCCTCAGCCTCCCAAGTAGCTGGGACTACAGGCGCCCGCCACTACGCCCGGCTAATTTTTTTGTATTTTTAGTAGAGACGGGGTTTCACCGTTTTAGCCGGGATGGTCTCGATCTCCTGACCTCGTGATCCGCCCGCCTCGGCCTCCCAAAGTGCTGGGATTACAGGCGTGAGCCACCGCGCCCGGCCAGATTAAGCTATTTTCAAAGTTTGGAATGTTGTTCCTGCTTCCCAGTAGGACAGAAGCTTGGGAGCAAAATTAGGTAAGTTACATACAATTAAGAAGCTCCATTAACAAAATGCCTGAGCAGAGCTGTGTACATTCTCAGCCCTAGAGAGTCCTGGCTCAGGTGCAGGTGGAGGGTGGGGGACACTGCTCCTCCTGCCCTGCCAGCAGCGAGCAAGTCACACCCCCAGCAGACACATGGGGCCCGATTGGCCAATCAGAAGATCCCTTCCTCCAGTCAGGGCTCAGCATGCCACTCCATAGGGACATTTTCTTCCCCTGAAAAAGAGATTCCTCCTTTACATAGGGGGGAGTTGGTAAACCAAGAACTGCTGGAGGCCACTCCATGAGCCGAGGAGAGAAGATAATTCAGAGGAATTCAGAACCGAGAGATGGGGAGAGAGGGAGGGAGCGAAGGGAAGAGAGAAGGAGAAAAAGAGGCAGAGGAGGAGAGAGCGATGGGGAGGGAGAAAGGGAAGGAGAAAGGAAAGGGAGGGAAGGACAGAAAGGGAGAGAGGGAGGGAGGGAAGGAGAGAAAGGGAGAGAGGGAGGGAGGGAAGGAGAGAAAGGGAGGAGGGAGGGAAGGAGGGAGAGAGAGGAAGAGGGAGGGAAGGGGAAAGGGGAGAGAGAGAGAGAGGGAGAGGGAAGGAAAGAGAATGAGAGAGAAAGGAGGAGAGGGAGAGGGAGGGAGGAAAGGACAGAGGCAGAGAGAGAGGGTGGGTAGAGAGGAAGAGAGGGGAAGGGAAAGAGAGAGAGAAAGTTTAAACTTCTGGATCCGTGGTGTCTAAAGACTAGAACTGTCGGGGCATTCAGTTACGTTTGCCAAGTCCCATTTCTCCCTTTGCCTAAGCCAGTCTGTCACTTGGGACTTACAGAGGGCAGCTCTCTGCTGTGGCTGTTGAGCACTTCAAATGTGCTTCGTCTGAATTGAGATGTCCTGTGTGTGCAAAACACACATCAGATGTAAAATATTAAACATTTTAAATGGGTCACATTTTGAAATTATAATGTTTTGGAGATATTGGATTAAATAAACTATGGTATTAATTTTACCTATTTATTTTGCTTTCTAAAATATGGCCACTAGAAAATTTAAAATTAAGCTCCTGGTTCATGTTGTATTTCCATTGGACAGGGCAGGGCTAGGCCCATTTTCTGGGTATGAAAGAATATACGTTGTAATTTTGTGTGGGGAGGGGGTTGTCAGCTGCTTCTAAAGAGAATGATTTCTGTGAAGCAGAGTGGGGCTTGGCTTTCTGAGTAGATAATGGATCTCATATGCAAGTTTGGGGTTAGAACCGAGGAAGAGAAGAAATGCTTTGCCTTTTTGTTTTTTCTTTTTTTTCTTTATTATTATTATTATTATTTTTTGAGACAGAGTCTGGCTCTGTTGCCCAGGTTGGAGTGCAGTTACGGTATGATCTCAGCTTACTGCAACCTCCGCCTCCTGGGTTCAAGGGATTCTCCTGCCTCAGCCTCCAGAGTAGCTGGTGAGAGGTGACAGCATGCTGGCAGTCCTCAGAGCCCTCGCTTGCCCTTGGCACCTCCTCTGCCTGGACTCCCACTTTGGCGGCACTTGAGGAGCCCTTCAGCCCACCACTGCACTGTGGGAGCCCCTTTCTGGGCTGGCCAAGGCTGGAGCCCACTCCCTCAGCTTGCAGGGAGGTGTGGAGAGAGAGGCGCGAGTGGGAACCGGGGCTGCGTGCGACGCTTGCGGGCCAGCTGGAGTTCCGGGTGGGCATGGGCTTGGCGGGCCCCGCACTCGGAGCAGCCGGCCAGCCCTGCTGGCCCTGGGCAATGAGGGACTTAGCACCCGGGCCAGTGGCTGCGGAGGGGGTACTGGGTCCCCCAGCAGTGCCAGCCCACAGGCGCTGTGCTCAATTTCTCGCCGCGCCTTAGCTGCCTTCCTGCGGGGCGGGGCTCGGGACCTGCAGCCCGCCATGCCTGAGCCTCCCACCCACTCCATGGGCTCCTGTGCAGCCCGAGCCTCCCCGAAGAGCACCACCCCCTGCTCCACGGTGCCTAGTCCCATCGACCACCCAAGGGCTGAGGAATGCGAGCGCACGGCACGGGATTGGCAGGCAGCTCCACCTGCAGCCCCGGTGCGGGATCCACTAGGTGAAGCCAGCTGGGCTCCTGAGTCTGGTGGGGCCTTGGAGAACCTTTATGTCTAGCTCAGGGATTGTAAATACACCAATCAGCACCCTGTGTTTAGCTCAAGGTTTGTGAGTGCACCAATCGACACTCTGTATCTAGCTGCTCTGGTGAGGACGTGGAGAACCTTTATGTCTAGCTCAAGGATTGTAAATACACCAATCGGCACTCTGTATCTAGCTCAAGGTTTGTAAACACACCAATCAGCACCCTGTGTTTAGCTCAAGGTTTGTGAATGCACCAATTGACACTGTATCTAGCTGCTCTGGTGGGGCCTTGGAGAACCTGTGTGTCGAAACTCTGTATCTAACTAATCTGATGGGGACGTGGAGAACCTTTGTATCTAGCTCAGGGATTGTAAATGCACCAATCAGCGCCCTAACAAAACAGGCCACTCGGCTCTACCAATCAGCAGGACGTGGGTGGGGCCAGATAAGAGAATAAAAGCAGGCTGCCGGAGCCAGCATTGGTAACCTGCTCAGGTCCCTTTCCACGCTGTGGAAGCTTTGTTCTTTTGCTCTTTGCAATAAATCTTGCTACTGCTCACTCTTTGGGTCCACGCTGCTTTTATGAGCTGTAACACTCACCGTGAAGATCTGCAGCTTCACTCCTGAGCCCAGCAAGACCACGAGGCCACCGGGAGGAACGAACAACTCCAGACGTGCTGCCTTAAGAGCTGTAACACTCACCGCAAAGGTCTGCAGCTTCACTCCTGAGCCAGCGAGACCACGAACCCACCAGAAGGAAGAAACTCCGAACACATCTGAACATCAGAAGGGACAGACTCCAGATGTGCCACCTTAAGAGCTGTAACACTCACCGTGAGGGTCCGCGGCTTCGTTCTTGAAGTCAGTGAGACCAAGAACCCACCAATTCTGGACACACTGAGATTACAGGCATGCACCACCACGCCCGGCTAATTTTGTATTTTTAGTAGAGACAAGGTTTCTCCATGCTGGTTCTGACTGGTGTCAAACTCCCGACCTCAGATGATCCGCTGGCCTTGGCCTCCCAAAGTGCTGGGATTACAGGTGTGAGCCGCCGTGCCAGGCCATGCTTTGCTTTTTGTTCTCAACAGTTTTACTCAGAATTCACATAACACCCAATTCCATCCACTTAGGTGTGTAACTCAATGGCTTTTTCTATCTTCACAGAGTTGTGCAACCATCACAGCTATTCAATTCCAGGACATTTTCATTACCCCAAAGAAAAACCATGTATGTCCCCTTTCCTCCATATCCCCCAGCCCCTGACAACCAGTGTTCTGCATTCTGTGTCTGCAGATTTGCCCATTCTGGATGTTTCATATAAGTGGAATCATAAATTAGTAGTTCTTTCCGACTGGCTTCTCTCACTGAGCATGTTTCCAAGGTTCACCCGGGTTGCGGTATGTGTAAGTATTTCCCTTTGTATGGCTGAATAATACTCCACTGTAGGGTGCACCACATACTGTTTATCCACTTGGCAATTGATAGGCATTTGGGCTATTTCCACTTTTTTGCTAAACTGAATAATGCTGCTGTGAATATTCAGGTACAATTTTGGGGTGAACATTCATTTCTCTGTTGTAAAGAGCTAGGAGTGGAATTTCTGGGTCACATGGTCACTCCATATTTAATCATCTAAGGAGCTGCCAGTCTATTTTCCAAAGCATCTGTGCCATTTTACATTCCACCATGTATGGAATCAATGAGGGTCCCAGTTTCTCTGCTTCCTTGTCAGCATTTGTTCTTATGGGTTTTTTATTCTAGCCATCCTAGCAGGTGTGAGGGGACCCTGCTGCAGCTTTGATTTGCATTTCCCCGAGGGCTAGGAATTTTGAGCATCATTTCATGTTCTTTGTGGCCACTTGTATATCTTCTTTGGAGAAATGTCTACTCAAGTCCCTTTCCCACTTTTAAATTTGATTATTTGTCTCTTTATTATTGAATTATAATAGTCCTATATGTATTCTAAATACCAATCCATTATCAGATGTATGATTTGCAAAATTTTTCACACATTATGTGAATTTTTTCACTTTTTTAATGGTGCCCTTTCAATGCACTGCTTCTAATAAGAGAATGATAAATCTGAAGTTAGTTTCAGTGGTGGGGTGTGGGATCCAAGAGAGGGAGAGTGGAGCCGCAGGCAGGGCAGTACCCAGGGAAGACAGGAAGAGCTGAAGGGAAGACAGAGGAGGAGCAGGCAGACAGGGTGGGGCCCAGGGAAGACAGAGGAAGAGCTGCAGGGAAGACAGAGGAGGAGCAAGCAGACAGGGTGGGTCCCAGGGAAGACAGAGGAAGAGCTGCAGGGAAGACAGAGGAGGAGCAAGCAGACAGGGTGGGGCCCAGGGAAGACAGAGGAAGAGCTGTAGGGAAGACAGAGGAGGAACAGGCAGACAGGGTGGGGCCCAGGGAAGACAGAGGAAGAGCTGCAGGGAAGACAGAGGAGGAGCTGGCAGACAAGGTGGGGCCCAAGGAAGACAAAGGAGGAGCTGGCAGGGAGGGCGGGGTCCAGGAAGACAGAGGAGGAGCTACAGGGAGGGCGATTCCCAGGGAAGACAGAGGAGGAGCTGCAGGGAGGGCAGGGTCCAGGGAAAACAGAGGAACGCCAATGCTGGACACCAGAACGTGGAACACAAGTTCCTTTGACGTGTCTCTTGGTGATAAACCCTCTCTTTTTTTCTGAAGTTACCTTTAATTCGTTTCACCCTCTTTCTTGAAAGATAGTTTTGCTGGGTATGCAATGCTAAGTGGAGCCATTTTTGTAGCACTTTGAAGACACCAATCCACTGTTCTGTGGCCTCAGTAGCTGCCCTGAGGAGGTGGGCTGCCAGTCAAACTTTTTCCTCAAAGGTGATTTTCTTTTTTACTGGCTATTTTTAGGATCTTCTTTTCATCTTTGGTGTTCTGCAATTTGGATACAATGTCTTGTCGACTCCTGCCTCACAGCTGGGGAAGAATGTTCTGGATATCAACACTTCCAGTGGGGGTCTTCTGGAGAGCCCACCAGAGGTCATTTCTCAGCCTTCCCAGTGATGGAGTGAGCATGCCGTTCCCACTGCTCCATACCTTTCTCCTGAATCACTGCAGTGGTGTCTGTTTTGTGCAACAAACCCTTACTGGACGGGGGCCCTCACCCCCTGCCATGATCCTGTGAGCAGCATTTTGTTTTTCCTCTAAGTCCCAGAGGCCCTGACCCTGATGAATGTCTGGAGGGGTGGGGCTCACACTTCCCCTCAGGGTTTCTCCACCCCTAGGGTTTCCCATTCTTGCTCCCACCCACTGAGGGAGCACTATGCGGGAGTCAGGGAGCTCCTCTTTCGCCCCTTTTGGAGCCTGGTCATGCTGCTTGATCACGGTCATTTCCTTAGAGATCTGAACCAGGGCGGGCATGATGCGGATGGGGAAGCATTACTGTCACAACCCCATCCCCAGTCTGACAGCTCCTCCTAACCAGCAGGGCTCCTCACTGGCCTTTTTCACAAGCATGGGTCTTTTCCAGCAGTCTTTAGCTCTGGTTACCGGCAGAAGCCCATCTCTGTCTGCAGTCTTGGACACTGCACCTGGGACAGGTGTCTGTTACCCAGAGCTGCTGTAGCCACCAACAGGTGAGAGATTGGCATGTTCCGTAGCTTAACCATCCAGTAGTTGAGATTGTCCCCTCTGCCTCCACCCATGGAGGTCGATGATGGCTGGGGGTGCCTGCTTGGACACCAATAAAAAGGGCAGGCAGCACGGCCCCTGCCTCCTGGCAGCGTAATCCTGGATTAGGAAGCTGCTGCATGGCTGCAGAGCCACTTCATTCCTGGGGCGAGTTCCCAGCACGCCCGATAAAGCCCCATTAAATCTCCCAGGTGGGGGCCCTTGAGGGTTGATAGGCAGTCATTCTTGGCTTTTGAATTCCTGCCAGTTGAAATACTTCCCATAGCAACTGACTCTCAAAATGCCTTCCATGGTGAGGATGGGTTGGAGTTTGGAGAAGAAATTTCCCCACTGCTCTGTGCCCTGGAGGCTTGCAGATCCGCAGCAAGGGGCACCATGAGAGTGGATGGCCAGTGATCCTGGGGCTGGGTTTCTGGGTTCTGACCACTGAGCTCTAGAAACTAAATAGCCACCAGGCCTAGGAATTCTAAGCTTTGCTGGTCTGAATTCTCCATCCACCACACCTACTCCAATGCCTTTTTCTCAGCGACTCCCTCCCTGTTTGAATGGCCGTTTCCAACAGTGGCCCCTGTCCCTCAGTCCTGCCATCTTTTCCCCAAAACACGCATTGCCATAGTTTTATCTATCTGATTTATTGGCCTGTGAGAACAAGGGTTTTGTCTGTCTCAGCTCCTGCTGTGTCTTTAGCCCTTGGGACAGTGCTCAGCACACAGTAGGTCCTCAGTAAATACCCAGTGAATGGAAAAATGAACGACAACTGAATGCTGGTCTTTGCACACACATGGCTGCGCTTCTGTGCACACACCCTGCCTATCTCCAGCCAGACAAGTGTGCAAAGTTGTCCCCCACTCCCCTGGTGCCACGGACACCTCTCCAAGGTGGCACGAGCTGTCTCCACAGCCATTCCCAGGGCTTTGCAAGACCCGAAAATTGGGTACAATGGACAATTTTTCACCTCCCAGGGTAGAACTTCTGTGCTTTAAAGAATCAGAGGCCTCCCCACCCCTCTGTGGGGCCATGACTGTGGTCACCAACCCTGCTGTGCCCACAGAGCTTTGAGTGCAGGCTTCACAGGACCTCCCCACGCAGAAGCCACCGTGGGCTTCAGGTTAGGAGGTGACAAGGCTGTCAGGGCCGTGATTGCAAAGCTGTCTCCATCACATCCCCTGCTGCTCCTTGCAGGAAGACACAGAGTCCATTTCCCATCCCATGAAATCGGGCTGCTTCCATGACCCACTTTGGCCCATAAAGTGTGGCAGAAGTTCTGGTAGTCAGCCCCAAGGCGGTGCCACTCTGTCTGGAATCAGGAGAACAGGCCGGGAGCCGCTGGGGCTGAGTCTGGAATGTCCTCAGTGTTCCACTTCCCTGTCCGCTCAGAGTGCATCCAAAGGCCAAGGACCTGGAGACCTTCCCACACTTGCGGCTGCCGCTAGGACCGGCCTTGGAGTGCACAGTACTGCCTTGGCTTGGCTGCCCAGGATCTGAACTCCCTCTCGACCCCGGGCGGCTCTGCCTGCCGAGGCTCAATCTTCCCTTGCAAGGTTGGGCAGGTCCAGGCTCCCTTCCCAGCCTCCTTTGCAGCAGCACACCACAGCGTGGAGGATCTGGTCAGGGTCAGCCCCACCAGTGGCAGCCTGCTCGAGGTGAGCGGTGGCTATGCAAAGGCGCACCCACAGCTCCATGGCAGCACCAGGGGACTCCGCACCAGCCTGGGCTGGGGTGTGGTTTTTGGCTGTGGTCCTGGCTGTGGCTTTTCCTGCTTTGTCCCCATTTCCTCCAGGCCTCCTGAAGAGCCTCTGAGCTAGCCCTATCAGTGCATAGAGTCTCCAAGGTTTGCAACTAAGACCCCTGATGGTGTCAAGGTCCCTGCGTGGGCCAGGCCCTGGAGTCAGATTGACCAGGTGCTTGGCCAGACAGCACTTCTCTCTGGGTCACCCAGGACACCCATTCTCTGCAGTTGGATAAGACAGGGTCAGGAAATAGGAGAGGACCTGTGTACACTCCCAGATGGCAAATAATGTGCCCACATGTGTCCCCGTGGGGCAGCATAATGGCCCCTGTCTGCAGACTCTCCCCTCCCACTCAAGAGTCTTGAACCCAGGACTTGGTTTCTCTGAACCTAAGCACATTATCCCCAAACTCTGCCACTTCAGTCCTGCTGGCACCCCAGGCACTCTCCCCACACCTGCCTGGGGCTCCCCAGAGCTCCTGAAACATCCCAGCAAACAAAAATGTCCTCCTGGGCAAAGATGCTGGCTTTTCCTCCTCCACTTGCCCACCCCCAATACATAGTCCTTGCATCTCCTGCAGGCAGCCCAGTGGGTGCCAAGCCCCTGGTGGACCACAGCACATGGGATTTGTGCCGTCACTAGTGCATGTCCTGATTCCTCAGATTTCTCAGGCTCTGTTGTGCTGGGGTGCACGCTGGGAGGCTTATGTGTATTACACTGCTCCTCGTGTCTCCCTTTTGTACACTTACGTACCAGTGATGGGTCGGTCCTTCCAAGACACCGTCTAAGAGCCCAGGGGCCCTGCCACTCACCAGGGCCCACTCCATTGTCATAAGCCTGAGTCCCAGGTGGGTCTTCATTTGGGACTTCTCCCACTCCTTCAGTGTTGGGCCTTCATGAGTGCTAAGTTATCTACACACAGTTCCCTGGCACCATCCTTGGTGTGCATGCCCAGGAGGCCCAGCAGAGATGTTCTCATGGCCCGTGTAGTGACTTTGCCGTGCAACTTTGGCCAAAAACTGTTCCCTAGCCACAGAGCAACTGTGTCAGCCAGAGTTCCCAGCTGCAGGCAAACAGAAACGAGCTCTGATTTGAAGGGAATGAAATCTATTGAAAGGTTATAGGGGACCTCACAGAGCCTCCAGGAGTCCATGCAGCCAAAGTTGTGCTGCAAGGCTGGGCTGAGGCACATGTGGCTGCTGCCTTGTGCATTTGCCAGTGTCGCATGCTTTTGGCCTTCCTGCAGTCCCCGCTGCAACTACAGCAGCCTCTGATGCCCTCACAGTGGCCCTTGCTTGTGTCACCAGCTTCCTGGTCAAATTTGGGGCTGAGGGTCTGATGGTGGAGCCTAGGTCCTGCTCTCCAGCCCCGGGCACCACTGGGAGCTTGTTAATGCCCAAATCTGAGGCCTCAATGAGGCTTAGGGAGAACCTGCATTTTAACTAGATTCCCATTGTACTAATTATCTTTTCCTGCATAACAATTATTGCAAAACTCAGTGGCTTAAGACAACAAACGCTGATGATCTCACACTGCTCCTGAGGGCCAGCAAGTGGCTGGGCTGATGGCTCTGCTTCACTGTCTCATTAGGCTGCAGCCACCTGCAGGTTTGACTGGGGCTGGTGGGTCTGCTCCCAACGTGACTTGCTCACTGCTGGTGTTGGCAGAAGGCTGTGGCTCCTCATTGTGGGGACTCTCCATGGGACTGCTTGAGTGTCCTTGCAATATGGCGGCTGGCTTCCCTGGAGCGAGTGACCCAAGAGAAAGCCATGTTGTGGCCTAACCTTGCAAATCACATGTGTCACTACACAGGTTGGCCCCACTCAGCCTGGGAGGGACTGTGAGGTGGAGAAGGTGAGGACCTGGGCTTTTGTGGGGCTCTGCTCATAGAAAGAGTATTCACCTTGCAGGACAGCCAAAAACAATGACTAGGATTATTCTCTTGTCCTTTTTCTAACCTACTGAGTTGGATGTTTAATTCAATTATTTGCATTGCTTCTTGTTTATTAATATAAACGTTTAAGGCTATGAATTTTCCTCTGAGGAACAATAGCTCCAATAGTGTTTTTATTATTTCTGAATATGTCAATTTGGAATTTTATTTCTTCTTTGATCCAAGTTTTGCTTAAGAGAGCTTTAAAATTTCCAAGCAAAGGGCCTTTATATTAGTTATATCTGGTTTTATTGCATTGTGAATAGAGACTTTTTTCTGTATTTTTTTAAACAAAATAAAATGTATATGGCTTAAAAATTCAAATCGTAGCATTATCAAGCTTAAAACAAAAATCTTCTGACCCCTCTCCTTCCCTTGAACACTCCAACTCCACTTAGTCCTTGAGGCAACTGTCTTCGGCCCTCTTCAATGGCTTTTCTGTTATGTCCCACCCCAGGCCTGAGAACAGGACTGCACCATCAATTCCAGACATTCCAATATTAGGCACTATCTGCTATCATTGTCCTAAGACCAGGACGCAGCTTTTTATCTTCCCCTGTTTTTACACACGTCCCCCCTCCCTGTCCTATTCTCGTAGTCATATCACGATTTTTGGTGAAATGCATTTCTAGCACTGGTATTCCTCTGGTTGTGTAAATATTGTTCATAGATGAGTCCCATAGTGCACCATGATTACATTGATTTTCTTATGCAATTTTCCCTCTGGATTTGCCCCATTTTAGGGGTTTGCTTGGTTTTTATTATTGTTGTGGGTCTGGAATTCATGGGTTCTTGGTCTCACTGACTTCAAGAATGAAGCCGCGGACGCTTGCAGTGAGTGTCACACTTCTTAAATGCGGCGTGTCCGGAGTTTGTTCCTTCTGATGTTCAGATGTGTTTGGAGTTTCTTCCTTCTGTTCTGGTGGGTTCGTGGTCTTGCTGACTTCAGGACTGAAGCTGCAGACCTTTGAGGTGAGTGTTATAGCTCATAAAGGCAGTGTGGACCCAAAAAGTGAGCAGCAGCAAGATTTATTGCAAAGAGCAAAAGAACAAAGCTTCCACTGTGGGGAGGGGGACCCGAGGCGGTTGCCACTGCTGGCTCGGGCAGCCTAATTTTATTCTCTTATCTGGCCCCACCCACATCCTGCTGATTGGTCCATTTTACAGAGAGCCAATTGGTCTGTTTTACAGAGAGCTGATTGGTCCGTTTTGACAGGGTGCTGATTGGTGCGTTTACAATCCCTGAGCTAGACACAAAAGTTCTCCATGGTCCCCACTAGATTAGCTAGATACAGAGTGTTGATTGGTGTATTTACAAACCCTGAGCTAGACACAGAGTGCTGATTGGTGCATTTACAAACCTTGAGCTAGATACAGAGTGTCGATTGGTGCATTCACAATCCCTTAGCTAGACATAAAGATTCTCCAAGTCCCCACCAGATTAGCTAGACACAGAGCGCTGACTGGTGCATCCACAAACCCTGAGCTAGATACAGAGTGCCGACTGGTGTATTCACAATCCCTTAGCTAGACATAAAGATTCTCCAAGTCCCCACCAGATTAGCTAGATACAGAGTGCCAACTGGTGCATCCACAAACCCTGAGCTAGACACAGGGTGCTGACTGGTGTTTACAAACCTTGAGCTAGATACAGAGTGCTGATTGGTGTATTTATAATCCCTTAGCTAGACATAAAGGTTCTCCAAGTCCCCACTAGACTCAGGAGCCCAGCTGGCTTCACCCAGTGGATCCCGCACAGGGGCTGCAGGTCTGGAGCCCTGCCCCACAGGGAGGCAGCTAAGGCCCAGCAAGAAATCGAGTGCAGCGCTTGTGGGCCGGCACTGCTGGGGGACCTGGCGCACCCTCCGCAGCTGTTGGCCCAGGTGCCAAGCCCCTCACTGCCCGGGGCTGGCGAGTTGGCCGGCTGCTCCAAGTGCGGGGCCTGCCAAGCCCACACCCATCCGGAACTCTAGCTGGCCCACAAGCGCTGCCCACAGCCTGGTTCCTGCCCGCGCCTCTCCCTCCACACCTCCCGGCAAGTTGAGGGAGCCGGCTCCAACCTCAACCAGCCCAGAGAGGGGCCCCCACAGTGCAGTGGCAGGCTGAAGGGCTCCCCAAGCTTGGCCAGAGCAGATGCCGAGGCCAAAGAGGCACCAAGAGCCAGCGAGGGCTGCAAGGGCTGCCAGCATGCTGTCACCTCTCAGTTGGTTTCTCAAACATATTTAGTAATCCACCAACTTTAATTTTTTCTTGACAACATCACTCCTGGAGCCCCGGATGCTTACACTGGCTGTTGCTGTGTTCTTGGTCTCTCTGTCTTCACTGCCCTGGGAACCCCCTGGCCTTAGCTCTGGGCTCCAGCCTCAAGGTTGTTACCGAGCGAAGGGGCTCACTGCCTTGTGTGCTAGAGGCCAACATCGTGATACTTATGAGAAAATAAAAGCTTGACTCCCAAGAATTTCTGTTAGTCACTGGTTTTTAAAAAGCTCTTTGGGGCATAGTTTCAGGGTCTGATATCCTGGTGCCCCTTTCTGCCCTGGCTTGGGCATGCACATAGACCTAGCACATTTTCCAGTAGGCTCATAGTAAGTGTGCACAGGAGAGGCAACATTTTTGAAGCCTTAAGTATCTGAAAATATTTTATTTTACATTTACATGTAAACATTTTTATTTTCCATGTATACTGAGGATACTTTGGCTGGGTATTGAAATCTAGGTTAGAGCTATGGTGTCATCATCTTCTAGCTTCCACAGTGCTGTGGAGAAGTCAGATGCTGTTGGAACCTTATCCTCTGTGACCCGATCCTCTGTTATCTCCTTGACTTTGACATTTATGGAAATGTGCCTTGGTGAGAGTCTGTCTTTATTCATTGGACTGGACCCTTCGTGAGGCCCCTCAGTGCAGGAACCAATGTCCCTCAGTTCTGTAATGCTCGTATTTATTGGATGATTTTTCTCTCCTTAGTTTTCTCTGTTCTGAGTGCCTGTTATTTAGACGGTGGACATCCTGGACTAACCATCTGATTTTGTTTTGTTTCTTCCTTTTGCCATTTTGTCTAACTCTCTGGAGTGTTTCCTCACTCTTATCTCCCCCTCTTCCAACTGAATTTTCAAATTTATGCTCCACATATTTCATTTCTCAGAGCTCCTTTCCGTTCTCATCATTTTCTTTGCTAGAACCTCTTGTGCATGTTCTCTGGATCTTCCCTTCTCTCTCTGAAGACACTCCCTTCAGTTTCCTTCTGACACCCTTTGTTCTACTCCCTGTTTTTCAGACTGCAGGCTTTCTTCAGGTGATCCCTTGACTTTCTGTTCATATTTAAGAGGGAGGCACTAAAAGCTGATTAAACACATAATATGTATTTGTAAGAGCCCAAATTGGAAACGACCCCAATGTTCATTAACAGTAGAGTGGACAATACTGTACCCACACAATGGAATGCTCTCCAGCACCAAGAATGGACCATATTTGTGCAAGTCACGGGGCGAATCTCAAATATGATGCTGAAGAGAAGAAGCCAGTCTTGAAACAGCACACCTTTGCCTAAAGCATGGAACCAGGCAAGACAAATCTGTGTGCTAGGAGTCACGATAGTGTTGTCTTTGCCTGGGGGTGGCGACTCAAAGGGGCTGAGGAGGTTTCTGGGATGCAGGTTTATTCTCTCTCTTGATCTGGCTGACTAAGGGCGTGTCCTGTTAGTGAAAAATCATCATGCTAGACTCTCAGGATGAGTGCACTTCAGTGTCCAGCAATTATACGTTCAGCTGAAACCATACAAGGGAAATCCGTGGGACTTGTGGGCTGGTGGGTGACCCCGTGGGGCCAAGCTGTTCCTCCAGAGAGCAATCTTCCATTCTCCTGCCTGGGTGAGCCATTTGTGAGTGGACTGGGAGTGGGGCAGGCGTCTCTTGACTCCCTGTGCAGGCTTCTCACACACTCCACTTTTTCAGTAAAGAGCCTCACTTCTGCCCTGAGAAAGGCTGAGCTCCCCACCTCCAGAGAGTCTGGGTTCACCCTCCACAGAGAATAAACCTCCCATCTTCAACTGGGATGGTGGGGGATAGGGATCCAAATGCCCAGACCCTACCTCCAGGGTATCTGGTGCCTCCAATTCTGCAGGCTTGCTGGGCCTCGTGATTGGCCTGATTCTGCCTGGCTTCCTTAATTCTTGCTTCAGAACAGTTTTTGTTTCACTGTATTTTCTGGGCCTTCTATTAGTAAGTGAGGGACCATCTGGACTAATTTGTTAACATTTCTTTTTTCTCTCATATTTTCTCTCTCTTTCCTTTTGTTCTGCTTTCTTGCAGATTTCTGCAACTTTATGTTTTAATCCTTGGGTAGATTTTTAAAAATCAGCTATCATATTTTAATGTTGTTATTACATTTTTTATTTTGGGATAATTATATTCACATGCACTTATAATAAATAATACAGATATTTCTGTGTACTCTGTACTCAATTTCCCCCAGTGGTAATGGTTTGTAAAGCTATGGTAGAATATCACAACCAGGATATTGACATTAATGCAGTCAAGATAAAGAACATTTCCATTGCTTCAGGTATCTCTTGTAGCCACCCTTGTTTATATCCAAAACAACTTTTCCTTCCCCCGTCCCTCTAACCTTGATCCTTGGCAACCACTAATCTGTTCTTCAGTTCTATAATTTTGTCATCTCAATGGTATTATATGAATAGAACCACAGAGTATGTAATCCTTTGGGCTTGGCTTTTTCACTCAGCAGAATTCTCTGGAGATCCATCCAAGTTGTTGCGTGTATCAATAGTTCATTCCTTTTATTGCAAAATAATATTGCATAGTACAACGTACTACAGTTTGTTTAGCCATTCATCTGGTGAAGGATATCTAGATTGTTTCCAGATCTGGGCTATCACGAGTAATGCTGCTATGAGTATTTATGTACAGATGGTTGCAGGAACATACTTTTTCATTTCTCTGGAATACAGTGCAGTTGTTGGGTTGTATGGTAGTTGCATACTTAGTTTTATAAGAAACTGCTGAACTCTTTTCCAGACTGGCTGTGCCATTTTACATTCCTACCAGGAATGTACGAGCAATACAGTTTCTGCACATTTAGAGTCAGTATAAATATTGACGCATAGTCCTTTTGCAAGGGTGAGGTCTTGAGTTAAGGCAATGACTTCTGTTGGCTGAGAGGTAGTGGACGGGGGGCAGAGTGGTAGCCTCAATGATAGATGTGGAAGATACGATAGCATAGCCTGCCTTTGCTAATGAGTGGCGATTAGGATGCACATCCTCACCAGCATTTGGTGTTACCACTAGTTTCCATTTTAGCCATTCTGTTAGGTCTGTAGCGTATATCTTTGTGGTTTAACATGCGTTTCCTTTATGGATAAGATGTTGAACATCTTTTTATATGCTTATTTGCCATCTACATGTCTTCTTTAATAATATGTCCATTTGTGTCTTTTGTCCACTTTCTAACTAGATTGGCTTGTTTTTCTTTTTCAACTTTTAGCTACCCTATTAACTGAAGGGATTTTTTTTTTATTGCTAAGTTTTGAGTGTTCTTTTTATATTCTAGATACTAGTCCTTTATTGGATATGTGGTTTGCAAATATGTCTCCTAGTCTGTAGCTTGTCTTTTCACCCTGTTAAAAGAGCCTTTTGCAAGCAAAAGTTTGTAATTTTAACAAAGTCCAGTTTGTTAATTTTTTTTTACGGCCCATGCTTTCTGTGTCAGGTTGAAGAACTCTTTGCCTAGCTCTAGAGTTTCTGTTATGCTCTTTTTTTCCTAAAAGTTTTATAGTTTACATTTAAGTCTGTGATCCATTTTGAATTGAATTTTATGTAATGTATGAGGTGTAGGCTGATGTTCATTTTTTTGCAGCTATCATTTAAAAACTAAATAATAGACCACTTTTAAGTTTTGGATTTACAGAGAAATTGAGCAGATTGTATAGAGTTCCCGTGTAATCCCACCCCTGAACACAATTCCTCTGTTATTAACATCTTGCATTAGTGGCACACTTGTTATAGTTAATAACCCAATATCGATACGTTATTATTAACTAAAGTCTATAGTTCACCCTTGGTTGTACTTCTCTGTGGGTTTTGACAAAGGCAGAATGTGGTGCATCCCCTGTTACAGTGTCAAACAGGAACTTCACAGCCCTAAAATTGCCCTGTGCTTTAGCAACCATTGATCTTTTCACTGTCTCTATAGTTTTGCCTTTCCTAGAATGTCATACAGTTGGGATCATATAGTACATAGCCTTTTCATACTGGCTTTTTTTCGCTTAATAACATGTATTTAAACTTTCTCCATGTATTTTTGTGACATGGTAAATCATTTCTTTCTTTTTTTCAGAGACACGGTCTCACTCTGTCACCCCAGGCTGGAGTGCAGTGGTGCCATCACAGCTCACTGAAGCCTTGACATCCTGGGCTCAAGTGATCCCCCTGCCTTAGCCTCCCAAGTAGCTGGGACTACAGGCACATACTGCCACACCTGGCTATTATTTAAAATTATTTTTTGTAGAGACAAAAACTTATTTTAAATAATATTTTTGTCTCTACAAAAAAATATTTTTCTTTTTTGTCTCTACAAAAGGCCTGTTATGTTGCCCAGGCTGGTCTTGAACTCCTGGATGCAAGCCATCCTCCTGCCTCAGGAGCCCGAGTAGCTGGGATCACAGGTGTGGGCTGGATCATTTCTTTTTTTTAGTCACTGAAGAGCATTCTATTGTGTGGATGAACCTCATTTGTTTATCTATTTACCTACTGACAGACATCTTGGTTGAGTCCAGTTTTTGAAAAATATGAATAAAGCTGCTATAAACATAGCAGTAGGTTTTTGTGTGGACATAAGTTTTCAATTCAGTTGGGTAAATACCTAGGAGTGTGATTGCTGGATCATATGGTAAGACTATGTTTAGCTTCATAAAAACTGTGTCTTCCACAGTGACTGTACCATTTCACATTCCCACCAGCAATGAGGGAGAATTTCTGTTGCTCCACATCCTTGCCAGCATTTGGTGTTTTTTTTTTTTTAATTAGCATACTGTTCTTGTTTTATAGCTGTAGCATTTCTCTCATTTCTCGAAAACTATTAATTAGAATTTTTGGTAAATTTCCTTGTGTTTCCTGCTGTAATGTTGGTTTCTTTAATTTCCTTCTCTATGTTTACTTTGTTTTCTGTCTCTCAAGCTGGGGCTTTCTGCAGATGTCTGGTCATCCTCAGCTCCCCATTTATCAGCAAGAGTCGATTGGATGCTCACAGGCTGGGCTTCGCTTTTTGGTTAATTGCAAGCAAGAGCAGCTGTTTGACTGCAGGGGGACCGCCGAAGGTCTCCTACTTGGTGGGGGAGTGGGGGAGTGGCCTCCTTCCTGCTGCCCTGTATTGGGTAGAGGAGGGGACTGGGCTGGTGGGATTTAACCAGTAGGTGTCCAGACTTTCAGAGAGTTACCCTTGTGTCTCCCATGTTCACTACATCCACAGAAGAATCTACAGTCTCCCGCTGGGGTTGGGGTGGCATCTGCCTGGGTGTTGAACATGGGCAGGGGCAAGCAATGGGCTTTTTCGAGTAAAGATTTCAACCGCTCCCTCTGTGGTCTTCTGGCCTTTTCATCCCTTCCTTGTTGCTGCCATCAAGTCCTGAGCCTCCCAGGGCTTCTGCAGGGAAGATAAGCTCACTTCCCGTCTGCAGTGCTTGCCCTGGAGGGCGAGGCTTTCTGACCCATTAAGTCAGATGTCCTATCTCTATTCTTCCACAGGCAGAAGGTCTCTATCCACTGACATTCCCATTTATACCTCCTATGTGGGTTTACAATTTTAAAACATTTTAATTCCTTAGGCAGAAGCAGAGATAAACTTATATGGTCAGTCAATCCATCACCTTTAACCAAAATTTCTCAATCATTTTATAATTATAAAGTTAGGGGATACAGGCCGTGTGCAGTGGCTCATACCTGTAATCCCAGAACTTTGGGAGGCCAAGGCAGGCTGATCATCTGAGGTCAGGAGTTCAAGACTAGCCTGGCCAACATGGTGAAACCCCATCTCTACTAAAAATACAAAAATAAGCCAGGCATGGTGGCGGGCCCCTATAATCCCAGCTACTTGGGAGGCTGAGATAGGAGAGTCGCTTGAACCTGGGAGGCAGAGGTTGCAGTGAGTCGAGATTGAGCCACTGCACTCCAGCCTGGGCACAGAGCCAGACTCTGTCTCAAAATAAATAAATAAATGAATAAATAAATAAATAAGGTTAGTGGATACAGAAATATCTTAAACAACATAGACACATGTAAAACAAAACAAACACACACAAAAAAGTGACATTTTCTTAGCACCTTCTGCCACCTTCCCCTTCCCTAGATGCCACACAGTAGCTGTCAGGAATGTGTCCTTTCTCTGTGCAAGTGGACAGCTGCAGACTGAGAATTTGTGCCTACATGTACACGTTCCCTGGCTGTCCTTGTAATCACGCTCTGCGTCTCGAAGAGCTCTCCTGGAAGGCACTTGCCACCCCACCGTGGTGTGGGGGTGGTGGTGGGGGGGCTGGGCTGTGAGCTCCCTTAGCAGGGGGTTCGCCTCAGGTGCTGAGACAAGGTCAGCAGTGACTGAGCAAGATGGAGGCCTGTCCGGTTCTGCCTGGCGCAGGCTCCCCTCCCAGCCGTCTTTGCTCTGAGCTCCCCGTCGGGCTGTCAGGTCTGCACCAGGGAGGAGGGCTCCCTGCCCAGTGCTGCTTCCGTCTGTCCTTTCCCATATGTGACTCCGGCCTCCTTCCCTGTCCTCGCTGTCTCAGTGTCAGCTCCTGGAGGAGCTCTGGACACACTCTTAGTCTGAACTCTGAGTTTTCTCAGGTCCCATTTATCAGGGATGCTTTTCTAAACCAAAGGGCATACATCTGCCCTATCCTTTTTAAGAACTGTGTGGTATTTTATGGCAAGAATGTAGCATAAGTTACGTACAGTCTCTTGGGTTTTTGTTTGTTTTTTGAGATAGGGTCTCACTGTGTCACCCAGGCTGGAGTGTAGTGGTGGGATCTCAGCTCACTGCCGCCTTGACCTCCTGGCCTCAAGCAATCCTCCCATCTCAGCCTCCCTGTAATTCCTATAGCTGGGATTATGTGTGTGTACCACCATGCCTGGCTAATTTTTACATTTTTTGTAGAGACCAAGCTCCCTATGTTGCCTAGGCTGGTCTCAAACTCTTGGGCTCAAGCAACCTTCCTGCCTTGGCCCCCGCAAAGTGCTGGGATTACAGGTGTGAGCCAGTGTGCCTGGCCCACACTCTCTTGCTGATGGAATCTTAAGAAGTCTAATTATTCTTGTGAAAAACCTTGTGAAAAAAAGCCATTTTAAACATGTATTTCACGTTATTTTGTGTGTATTATTATAACATATATCATTATGTATTACATAATACATATGTAATACAGATGATATGTATGACTTAATATGTATAACATATGATATAATAGATATGTTGTTATATGTGTATCACATGTTACATACATATACATGTGTATCACATATTAAATATATGTTTCATAAGTATTTCAACCCAACAGATTAGTTTGAAAACAATGTACGCCTATGTTTACTTTCTCTGTCCGCCTCTCCCTCAGGACCAGGTGCCTAGCTGACTTAGCACATTCTCTGGAGAGGAGTGTGTGGAGCGGGATTGTGTGGGTGCTGAGGGCCTGCGGGCCCAGGCAGGGCTGTTCACACAAAGGCAGACCAGATCATCACAGCCCATCCTGCCCTCCTTGAAGACCACCCTAAGGAGGCCATGGTACATGCCACTCTCTGAGTTCTGTTGGAATTTCTACATAAACCAGAGAATTAAAAAATAGACATTTTATTCTCCTGCAAGGTCTCTGTGGGATTGAGAGGTCCTTCTTGCACGTTGATTCTTAAGGATGTTTCGCCTTCCTATTTTTGTCACGTCTCCCTTAAGTCAGTCGTGCAGTTTCTCCCTCTGGCCTCCTCCGACCCCTGCACTCTGAGTTCTCCTCTGAGGCTTGGAGCCCTCCTTCTCAGTGGTTTATGGGGGCTCCCTTTTCCCAACCCGCCCCTTCCAGCTGGGACAGTCTCCCTGGTCCCTGACATACTGGAGAGGGAGGCCGGGCATTGTTTTTAGCGCCCAGCACCCTCCCCTCGCCACCTTCAGTTCAGTGGGTGCCTTGTGGACACAGCTGTGACGCCATGCGATGCTGTCTCCATAGGACACAGCGTTATGTCTCAGTGCACATGGCCGATGACAAAAAATAAAACACACAGCAAGAGGCAAGGTTCGGGAGGTGCCACCCTCAGGACGGGGGCAGGGGTGGAGGTCCCACCCCTAAGTGCTGGTGGGCCATGCCTCTGGGACCAGATGCCCCCTCAGCTGACAGCGCATCACAAGGACCCGAGCTGAGGATGATCTGGGGGTGCCTGGGGCCAAGGCTTGTTCCACTGGCAACACGGGCAAGTGTGCTGGCCAACAGCTGTCTCACCAGTGGGCAGATTAACAGCTCCCAGGCATGGCTACAGATTCTGCAGGAGAGGACATGAGGGGCCCACATGGGTGTCACCAGTGGGTGACCAGCTTAGGACCTCATGACTCATAAGTAGCTCCTTGTGAGTCATGAGTATTCTCACTGAGCCAGGAGTATTCAATATGCTGCTGGCTCATGAATATTTGGTGTGCCATGAATATTTCTTGCCTACTTGGCCCTTCCCTGCCTTTATCCGTGTTCAGCCCCCATGTGCCCCTCGTGCTCCCCAGCGCGGCTCACGGGCCACTCACTAGCTTGCTTGTTTGTGTGTCACTCTTGAAGTCCACCTACTCCCTTGTTTTCTTTCTTTCTCTCACAAAATTGAGACAGCCCATTTGGGGGATATTTGAATATATTTATTCTCAAACAACAAATAGCAAATATACATGGCAGTCAATCTTTTAAAAATAATTTTATAAAATGATGTCATATACTGCTCACATCAAAGTGTGTATAAAATATATTTACATAGTTTTAGAATCGTAACAAAACAAATACCTGTGCCTCCTCTCAGGTTAAAAAAGGTGACACTCGTATTCCCCTAAAGCAGCCCCTCGGCCCTCCCCTTCCTCCTTCAGCGTGGCTCCCTCTTCTGTAGTGTGTTGCTAAACATGTATTGGCTTCTAGCGACAGTTCCATCCCTAAACAGTGTGCTGTTTGGCTTGTGCGTTTCCGAGTTGAGAGGAATGCAATCACACCACACACATTTTCTGGGATCTGCTTCTCTTGCTCAACATCATGTTTTTGAGGTTGATTGGGGTTGCAGGGATTCCTTCAGGCGACCAGCTGCACATGCTTGCCTGGGATTGAGGGGTTTCCCAGGACACGGGGCATTCAGTGTGGACACCGGGAGAGTTCTGGGGCAGGCCCAGCTCATTTTGCCGCTGTAGGAGGTCCCGTGGTGCGAACCTGCCACAACTCTTGTCTGTGGATGTTTGGGCTGCTTCCATCTTCAAGCCATTTGAACAGGGCTGCTGTGTGGAACATTCCTGAATGTGCCTCTGGGCACTGGGAGGCGAGGTGGGTGCATGCAGACTCCTCCAGATGACAGCACGCTGTTCTTCCAAGGGACTGCAGCCATTCACGCATCCTGGTGGAGGAGGAGCACGGCCACTCCTCCAAATCCCCGCTGACACAGGGTGTGGTCCAGTTTCTAATTCTTCCCCATTCGGTGGGGGAGAAATTGATCTCACGTGATTGTCATTCAGATCCCCAAGGTTACTAACAAGGTTTGTTGGCCATTTCAATTTTCTTCATGAGGAATGCCTGTTCCTGTCTTTCAATCACAGTCTCCTTACTGACTATTGTAGTCCTTTATATATTCTGGATATTAATGCTTTGCAGTTACATGGGTTACAAATATCTCCTTGCAGCTTGTCATTTGTGATTTCATTTTTTATGGGGCTTTTGGTGAACAGAGATTCTTTATTTTAATGGAACTGATTTTATCTCTTCCTTTGTTTCTGCTCATTCAAGGGCTCTCTCAAGACATTCCCCCATGTTGTGTTCTGGAAGTTTCATAGTTTTGCCTTCAGTCCATTTTGGTTGATCGTTGTGTGGGGTGTGAGGCAGGGGTCCAGCTTTATCTTGACTCTCATGGGATCACTGATGAACAACACTGGTTTTTGCACTGGTTTTGCACCATTCATATTCTGGTTCCCATTGCTGTTTGGGGCTGTCTCTGGGATCTCTTCTGTTCTCTGTGAATGGCTTTCCCTCTGCAGCCTGGTACCCACTCAGCAGACACCTCCAGAGGTTGCCTTTGGGAGGGGGTGCCTTTCCCCTTGGTACCAAGGGCAAGGAGGGGTGTCCAGGCCTCTCTGTCCACATGCAGCCTGGGCTGGGGAGACATGGGGGATGGTGTCCAGGGACAGGGCTGGGAGCAGGCCTTGAAGGCCATAGTGAGGGTGTGGACTTGACAGCAGGTACAGAGAAGTGGTGGATGCCCTTTAGTTGGGGAATGTATGACAGATACATGGATGACATATATGATAGGTAGGTATATGCACACATAAGTGTGAGTGTGCCTGCACCTGGCTGTAGGTATAGATCTTATGGAAGCCATTTGGCCATTTGGTGGCACAGAGGTCAGTGTGGGCAGGAATGATGGCAAGGGTCAGGGGCTACCTCTTAAGGGGATGGCCAGCCTGCGGGCCTCCGTGTGTGGTTCACTCCTAGCTTTACCTGTGCTCACTGAGCCCCACCATCTGACACACCATGTCATAGCTCCATTAGGTCCATGGCTCCTCCTCCCTGAGTGTGACTGACACATGCACAGTCAGTGGTCAGCACTCACCGAATGAGTGGATGAATGAGCAGGTGAGTGGCGGGTCCCATACAGGGACAGGCACTGAGAGGGCCAAGGGTTTGAAGGAGAGAAAAACAGGTAATGCCAGGGCCAAGCTGTCCCCTGATGCGACTCAGGGAAACCCATCAGAGCTCTCCGTTACGTGGCCACAGCCTTTCAGGGCTCCAGAAGCATCACGTGCCCTTGTTCCCATCTTGACTTCCCTGCCTCCTTTCATGGAAGACAGCTCAGCTGTGAGTCCAGTTTGATGTCCAGGGGGCAGCATGAGTTTCCCAAGGCCCCACAGCAGGTCTGTGGACCAACTGGAGCCCCCAACACCAGCACAGCCTGGACAGAGGATGTCCTGCATGCAGGCCTGGCCCAGCACCCACTGACCTGTCTTTCCTCATCCCAGCCGTGGAGTATCTGTTTAATACCTTGACATCTCTTTCTGAAGAGCTGTTGCTTGGCAATTGTTGCTAGGCAAAATTCATCATTAACCAAGAGTCAGGGCTCTTGATCGGAGGCCTTCAGGAACACTGTGGGCCTGCAGGATGTGGTGGGAAGAATCCTGAGATGGCCTGGAGATTCCTGCCCCAGGGGCACACACCCTGTGTGATCCATCCACTAGAGCATGGGCAGGACCTGTCAATAGGATGGGACAGCTGTTCCCTTGATGAGATCACATTCAGTGGCCAAGGTGATGGAGCGTCACACCTGGGATCAGGCAGTATTAGATTGGACTCAGTAGTCCAGGGAGAGGAGCTCCTGCTGGCTGCTGATAGGCAAGTGCCACATTACTAGAGGGCTGTGTGCCAGGACTGGCGGGCACTGTCCATGAGTTGGGAGTAGCCCCCCTCACCAGCAGGAAGACAGGACGTCAGTGCCACCACTGCAAGGAGCTGAGTACTGCCAACACCCAGCAAGCTCACAGGAGGGCCCGGGAGCCTCAGCTGAGAACCATGCCCCAGTGACCCTGAGATCCAGCCTGAAGACACCTGTGCCGAACCCCGGCCTGCATGGGCAAGGCTTTAAGTCACTTCATTTGTGGTAACTTGCTGTGTAGCATAGAAAACGAATACACAGGTCTGGGCGTGGGGAGAGGAGTCTGCTTTTAGGAGCAGCCTTGGTGCTGAGGTTGGCTGCCGGGACGAAGGAGGAGAAGAAAACAGGAGCCCAGAAGGATTGGGCCGTGGCCCTGTGCCCAGTGTCTCACACACAGATTCTCAGAATGTCCCTGCAAGGCGGGGGTCCTTGTCCCCCTTCACATATGGGCCCTGGTGGGCCCTCACACATCCAGGTGATGAGGCTGGGACCTGAGCCAGAGGGACCCCAGCTGCCGTGGGGGTACCCGCAGAGGTTGGTCTGTGGATAGAGTGTTCACAGGCCACGGGACTGACACTTATAGGCACTGTTGGGAGGCTGACGGCTCCTGTGCCCCCACCCACATCCTACCATGCCTGGGGAAGTGCAGCTTCCCAGCCACTCCCGCCCAGGCTTCCTCACTGGGGCTTCCTGGGGTGCTCCTGGTTCTCGTGTTTGGTGTAGCTCTCATCAGGGAAGAGGATCTCCAGCTCTTCTGTTGGTCCCTCTGGCTTTTAGGGCTCAGCCCAGGGTCCCATGGGTTCAGGCCTCTCTCCACAGGGTGTCAGCAGGCTCGGCCACTTGCCTCCTCACCCCATGTGGCTTCTGAATGTGGGATGATGGGGTGGCCACCTCAGGTTGAGGCCAGCTGCCCCTGGAGCCCTGCGTGCAATGTCAGAGCCTCTTGGTCCTGGAAAGCCGTGGGGCCAACCTCCGAGAGAGGGTGTCCTGGGCTCTCAGAGGACAAGTGTCTCAAAGAGCCTCGAGCAGCCCAGGAGAGGAGCAGGTAGAGTGTGTGGAGGTGAAGGGGCCCTGTCCCACCCATGTTGGCCCCCAGCCCACACTGCCCGTCTGCCAGCGTGAGCAGCAGCGCGAGGCCTACCAGCAGGTGAGAAAGGGTATGCAGACGAGAGGGATCATCCCAGGAGGCTGCAGAGATGAAAATAAAGAATCAGGCATCACAGCGTAAGAAGTAATATTGTTACAGTGCATGACACAAGATCTAGAAACAAGAGAGTCACAGAAACCTAACAAAGATGAGAACTTTAGAATGTAAATGTAATAAAAGATAGGAAAATGAGATGCAGGATAAGGAGATAAAAGGTGAGAAGCCAACGAGCTGCCAAGCAGAAGGCTGGAAACACAAAAGAGCGAAGATTAAGAACAAGGGTGAAGCTCATCGCCACGAGGTAATTTTTTAAGTAGATGAAACCATAGGTCAAAAATGAGAATTAAGGGCTAGGGAGTTATGAGTAAAAAGGAATATAACAACCAAAGAAAAAGTATAATCACAGAGCAACATTTTAAACGATTCTCTCCTGTCCAAAAACACACAAGTTACCCAACCGCCTTCCAAGTAAACAGGACCAGGAAGGAGAGAGGAAGGGGAGAGGGAGAGGCAGAAGGCAGGGAAGGTCAAGTTAACATACAAATCAATACAGTAACATGAGGGTCACGAACTGAAAAGTTGCTAGTAAAATCTCAGTTTCTTCCTTCAAAAAGCACAGACCCCATTCCTAAAGAGGAAACTTCTGTGGATAACCAGACCCCTCTGGCCAGGGGGCTCCAGGAGCTGCTGCTGGTCCTCCAGTGTGGGCTGAGGGTGCCCCGAGCCCTGTGCCCCGCTCCCGAGCTCGCAGCCTGTTGTCGATCGCCTGCACACTGGCCCTGGCTGGTCTTGGTCCAGTGCACAGGGTCCCTGGCATGGCTGTCCACGTCTCCCCAGCTCCCACGCCGCCCCACACTACCTGCTCACTGCTCTGCCGTCCTCCATCCTTGCTGCTCAGAACCCTGTAGCCCTGACACTGCCACCCCCAAGCATGGAGGTGGCAGAAGTCCCCACCCACAGCCACCCCCAGGCTGTCCTGGTTACGGAGGGCAGAGGCTCTTAGACCTAAGCCTGCACAGAGCCTCAGGTCTGGGCTTGCTCCAGGGTGGGGCCCCAGCGCACAGGGCTGGGTAGCTCCAACAAGTCCCCAGGTGACAAGCACGCCACTGGCTAGGACCATACTTTGAGTGTGTTGGGAGTTGCTACTCAGGAAAGGAAACCTTAAAACCAGCTTCTAGGAGAGCCTGCTCCCACACTGTTTTGGCCACGAGTCCCTGGCCCTGCCACACCGTGGGACTCTCATCCTCACCATGAGAATTCCCTCAGCTGAGCCAAAGACTCTCATCTGCCCACTCCTGCCCCAGCACCCAGACAGAGTGAGCCAGTCAGGGGTGCAGGTAACTGCCCCCACAGCCCTTCTTATCCACAAGGAAGCCAGACACTGCCTTCCAGAAGGGACCCTGGTTTGTCCTTTGCTGATTCAAAAGACTTAGAAAATTGTTCCTCAAAGGAAAGACCCGTCCTGGTTCTGCTCCTATAAAGGCACAGACTGCTTGTAGCCAGGCTGGGAGGATTGGGAATGCCGGGGTTCCATCACTGCACAGCAAATCCTCCACCTCCACGTAGTGGCACCAACTTGAGCCATTTTGTTGCACTCACAGATGCTGTGGCTACAGTTCGGAGAGGGCATGGCAGGCGATGGCTGGCTTGTACTCCAGGCCCGGCTGGGAAGACTCCAAGGCTGGGGGAGATGGGATGGGAAGTGAGTGGGGGCTCCTTTGCTCACACATCTGGTGCCAGGCCTGGGAGAACTTGAAGGCTAAGACAGGTGACTCGTGAGTGGCCTTGAGGTGGTGGAGCCTCAGCTGCAGTGCTCCAGGGAACGAGAACAGGCGGTGTGGCTGTCCTGACCTCACCATGGCATCACACAGCGCCACTTCCAGCACTTTCTGCTGGCTGCAAGCAAGGCTCCATCCTGCCCACATCCAAAGGGCACGACGGGAGGATGGGAAGGCCACGCTGCAGAAGGGTGTCATATGGAAAGTGTCATTACGGTTGTCTCTGGAAAATTCCATCTGTACAGGACCCTGCTGAGATGCTCAGAGAGCTTGGAGAACAATTGAAGGAGCCGCAGTCATCCTGAGAAGGGACATTTAAGTTGGAGCTTGGAGGATGAAGGGATCATCTTGGCAAGGGGTGAGGGCAGTGGGCAGAGGAAGTGAGGATGGGGTAGAGTGTGGGGTGAGGACCAGGTGGCCCTGTGACAGTGGAGGCATCAGCAGGGGGTGGACCATGCAACCTGGCAGGCCAGGGTAAGGAGGGTGAGGGAAAGCCTCATGAGGCTCTGGAGTAGAGACATGCCATGAGCTGAAGCAGGAAATATGTTGTAAAAGAGTGGCGTCAGGAGATCTGCTTTGATGCCCTTGCAATTGGCCAGACAAGAGAAGATGGTGGCAGGGACAGGGTGGGGCAGGTGGCAGCTGTGCAGAGGGAAAGGAATGAGTGATTCAAGAGAGAGGGGCCGAGCCAACAGAGCTCAGGCTGAAATGGGCCTGGGGTGCAGGAGGGGCGTGGTCACATGATGCCCAGGTATAACTGGGGTGCGGGGGTGCCACTTAGAGCCCAGGCATTGGTGCCACTTGTGGGCAGAGTGCCTGGGGCAGCAGCGTGTGCCCTTGCCACTCCAGCAGATGTGGGTGTCGTCCAGAGGGGTCTGCTCCTTAGACAGCCAGCGCCCCGGAGTCCCTGAGCAGCCCCACGGAGGCTGAGTCGGCGCTTGTCCTCCAAGGGGGTTTCAAACATGGTGGCTGGTGTGAGACAGGCCCAGTTTCAGCCCTGGCTCCACTCTTCATTGGCTGGGAGACCTCAGGCAAGTCACCTTGGCTCTTTAGGCCTTGGTTTTCTCATCTGTAAAAGGCAGTGAGGGTATGTGCCTTGCAGGGGTGTTGGCAGGATTAGTTAGTGCTGTTACTTGGCCGGAGCTGGGTAATGTTTGCTGAATTAGCACATGCAGGGTTCGTTGCCGCCCCACATGGGCTTAGCAAGTCTGGGGCAGGAGGCGAGAGGAGGGAGGGCCCAGCAAGGCAGCCAGTGCAGACCCCCGGGGAGTGGCAGAAGTGTCTTCAAGGTAGGAGCTGGGATAGACTCCCCCCATCTGCCAAGAGCAGCTTCCCAGGGACAGTGGGAGCTGCCATTGCAAGCTCTCAGTGGGCACAACTGCATGACCAAGTGCTTCAGGGAGGAGAAGAGCAAGCAAACGCAGCCGGAGCCCTGTGCATAGTGCTGGCCCCAGCCTGAAAGTCGCCAGAGCTGCTCAACTTCATGCACGCATGGCAGGGTGGAAGTGCCAAGGACAGACCCCACACGTGACCCTCAGAAGTCTCTGGTGTCCACGGGACTGAACCTCAGCCACCTGCAAGTGGCCACCCGCCTGTGTCGAGCCCTTCCCAGCAGGTTCCCTTCCCCCTCTCATTTCTTCACAGCCCTCCAGGGGGTCTTGGGCTCAGCCCCCATGCACACTACTGGCACTGGAATCCTTGCATAGCCTTGAAGGAACCCATATGGAGACTGTGGGGCTGGGCAAGGCTGGGAGGTGTGGGCCTGCCCTGAAGCTGGGTGAGGGTCCCACTTGTGCAGAGTAGCCAGGCCCAGGCATGGAGGACCTCCCTTGTGTCGGATCACACACCTGTTCACTCCCAGGAGAAATGGGAGAACTGAGAACAGGATTGGGAAGCACAGGGACTTTCCCAAGCCAAATGGAGGGTGGAGACAGGGCTGGAGCAGAGAGACAAAGAAGAGAGACAGACATGGATGGGGCAGAGTGACCCTCTGCTCCCCAGCACGTACTGGGTGTGGAACATCTGGCAGGTAGGTGTGGTGCCCCTTCCCAGGTGGAGACGCAGGCCTGGCAGGCAGGGAGGGTGGGGACCAGACTCCTCCAGCCTCTGAGGACACAGGTAACTGGGAGCTGACCCTCTGTCCATCTGCTGCCAACATCGTGTGCCAGTGCAGGGCAAGGACTGGGGAGAAGCCTCACTCTTGACCACTGCAGAGTGGAGACCAGTGGTCAGAGGGCCATAGCCGGCTGCTGTGAGAACGAGAGGTGACTGCTCCCCTCCTAGGCCTTCCTCTCCTGCCTGGTATGGCCAGTGGGGGTGGGTGGAGGGCTGGGGCTTGCTGGTCTACCTTCACTGATGTGGTCCCAGCCCCTAGGCCCAGCCCTAGCATAGAAAGCATCTAGGGAGCTTCCCTCTCCACTCCCCACCCAACTCCTCCTCCTGAAAGATGCATGGAGTGTGAAAATTTCATCAAAGCAGCTTGCTTCCTGGGCTCACAGGCGGGGCTGGCGCTGGGAGCCCTGGGGCCTCAGGCCGCCCTGCTGCTCAGTCAGCCCTGGACGCCCCTCTGGGCTGCTGTAGAACTGGGACGAGCAGCGGGTTGATGGCTAGAGTCCCTTTGGCGTGTGTGCTAGGAGGGGCTGGGGAGGGACAGAGGAGGCGTCAGGCCAGCTTTGTGGGGTGGGGCGGTGCTGACACCCGCAGGAGGGGCTGCAGCTGGGCAGGCATCAGAGTGGGGTTCGGAGTGTTCCCAACGTCCCAGTGACCATGACTGCTTGCTTGACCAGCATGCATTCACTCATTGACTCTGCAGCTTTTCATTATTGTTATTTTTGTAAAACAGATGCTGCATTTGCAAGGTTTTAAAATGAGATGGGCATTTCGGGCTATTCCTGTTCTTTTGCTGCCAGAAACAATGTGGTGTGGGTAATCTTGCTCAGAGTCTCTTGAAATGTGGGTAGGTACACCTGCAGGGCAAAATTCCGCAGGTGGGATTGCTGGGTCAGTGGATAATGTTGATGGGAATTGCCACACTGCCTTTCATAGAGGCCATGCCACGAACCCTTCCAGCAGCAAGGCAAGCAGTGCTCACTTTCCTGAGGTCTGGCCCACAGAGCAGACTGAAAACACTTGGAGTCTGGCCAATCTGATAGAGAAAACATATTTTGAAATATATAAAAAAGCTGGATTTTCTTTTGTCCTCTCTGAGTGGCTTTCTTAGCAAACAGCTACAGGGTAAATTGTCCTGCGGCCAGAGTATAATGAGCTTATTTTAACTGTGTGTGGTGCCTGTAGGAGCATATCCGTGTGCATGTGTGTGTGGTCATGTGCAAGTGTTCGTGTGTGTGCATGCATGTGCTAGTGTGTTTGTTTTACTTGGAGCATCCAATCCAGCCCTGGTCACTGGGCAGGAGGAAACTCAATCTGAACACAGCCAGGTACCCTCTGGGAAGACAAGGCTCATTCCCATGGCTCTGCTCCCAAAGAGCTGAAGTTAGTGAGACCTGGCTGGTGAGTTAATGACAGGGCCAGCTCCAGAGCAGGGCAGTGAGGGGCAATGACTGCAAGTTAGGGGAGCTTGGGGGTGAGGCAGGCTCAAGCAAAGGCTTGGCTGTGGCAGACAGCGTACTTCCAACGGGTGCTCCTAAACACTTGGAGACCTTGGAGGGTAAAGGCAGAACCTACCACAACTCTGCAGAGAGCTGGGCTAGTGGGGGAGGTGTCCCAGGAAGCTGAGCTGTGTACCAGCCACCTCTAAACACAGGGGCCTGAAACAATATCATATACTATTTTCAGACTTTAAGTATTGGCAAGCTGAGCTGGGAAGTCTAGGCTGAGCTTAGCTGGTCTGGGCTGAGCTCTGTGGTCTGGGCTGTGCTTGACTGGACTGGGCTGCGCTACATGGTCTGGGCTGTGCTTGGCTGGTCTGCGCTGTGCTCTGTTGTGCTGGGCTGAGGTCTGTGGTCTGGGCTGAGCTCTGTGAGCTGGGCTATGCTTGGTTGGTCTGGGCTGAGCTCCACGGTCTGGGCTATCCTTGGCTGGGCTGAGCTCTATGGTCTGAACTGAGCTCTGTGGTCTGGGCTGTGCTTGGCTGGTCTGGGTTGAGCTCTGTGGTCTGGGCTGTGCTCTGTTGGGTTGGGCTGAGCTCTGTAGTCTAGGCTATGCTTGGCTGGGCTGGGCTGAGCTCTGTGGTTTGGGCTGAGCTCCATAGTCTGGGCTATGCTTGGCTGGGCTGGGCTGAGCTCTATGGTCTTAACTGAGCTCTAATGCCTGGGCTGAACTCCGTGGTCTGGGCTTGTTCAAGAACCAGTGTCCTGTTGCTGACTTTTCCGGCTGGCTGCTGTAGACTTGTGTCCGGAATTGGTGGGTTCTTGGTCTCACTGACTTTAAGAATGAAGGCACAGACTCTCGCAGTGAATGTTACAGTTCTTAAGAGCGGCCTGCCCAGAATTTGTTTCTTCTGATGTTTGGATGTGCTCAGAGTTTCTTCCTTCCAAGGGGTTCGTGGTCTTGCTGACTCAGGAGTGAAACTGCAGATCTTCGTGGTGAGTGTTACAGCTCATAAAGACAGTGTAGATACAAAGAGTGAGCAGTAACAAGATTCATTACAAACAGCAAAAGAACAAAGCTTCCACAGTCTGGAAGGGCATGCAGTGGCTTGCCATTACTGGCTGGGGCAGCCTGCTTTTATTCTTATCTGGCCCCACCCACATCCTGCTGATTGGTCCATTTTACAGAGAGCCGATTGGTCTGTTTTACAGAGAGCTGATTGGTCCGTTTTGACAGGGTGCTGATTGGTGCGTTTACAATCCCTGAGCTAGACACAAAAGTTCTCCATGGTCCCCACTAGATTAGCTAGATAAGGAGTGTCAATTGGTGTATTTACAAACCCTGAGCTAGACCCAGAGTGCTGATTGGTGCATTTACAAACCTTGAGCTAGATACAGAGTGTCGATTGGTGCATTCACAATCCCTTAGCTAGACATAAAGGTTCTCCAAGTCCCCACCAGATTAACTAGATACAGAGTGCCAATGGGTGCATTCACAAACACTGAGCTAGATACAGAGTGCTGATTGGTGTGTTTACAAACCTTGAGCTAGATACAGAGTGCTGATTGGTGTATTTACAATCCCTTAGCTAGACATAAAGATTCTCCAAGTCCCCACCAGATCAGGAGCCCAGCTGGCTTCACCCAGTGGATCCCACACCGGGGCCGCAGGTGGAGCTGTCTGCCAGTACCATGCCATTTGCCGGCACTCCTCAGCCCTTGGGTGGTCGATGGGACTGGGCACCGTGGAGCAGGGAGCAGCACTCCGCCGGGAGGCTCAGGCCACGCAGGAGCCCACGGCGGGGCAGGGAGGCTCAGGCATGGGTGGCTGCAGGTCCTGAGCCCTTCCCCGCGGGGAGGCAGCTAAGGCCCGGCGAGAAATTGAGCACAGCAGCTGCTGGCCCAGGTGCTAAGCCCCTCACTGCCCGGGGCTTGTGGGCCAGCCAGCTACTCCCAGTGCGGGGCTTGCCGAGCCCACGCCCACCCAGAACTCAGGCTGGCCCGCAAGTGTGGCGCGAAGCCCCAGTTCCCGCCCGTGCCTCTCCCTCCACACCTCCCCCCAAGCTGAGGGAGCCGGCTCCGGCCTTGGCCAGCCCAGAAAGGGGCTCCCACAGTGCAGCGGTGGGCTGAAGGGCTCCTCAAGCGTGGCCAGAGTGGGCGCCAAGGCCGAGGAGGCGCCAAGAGCGAGCGAGGGCTTCGAGGGCTGCCAGCACACTGTCACCTCTCAGAATGACCTCCACAGGGACCACCTGGCTCCATAGGGCCTCCCATTCTCCAGCAGCCTCCAGGCCAAGTTTGTGGTCAAGCAGAGGCAGGGCTCTGAGGGAGCGTGAAGTGTAGGCTGAGCAGTGGCATATCACTCCCACCCATGCTAGTGGTCAAAGCAAAATCTGGCCAGCCAGAATCACATGGTGGGGCAAGGGACTCCAGAGGAAGGATGGAGCCTTGTGGCCAATTTTGCAATCCATCTTCTTCAGGAGGACAGAGTCCATGGGGGCCATGTCCCTGGGGCCATCTGTGCAAAGCTGGCCACCAACAACATTCAACTCACAGCACCTAAGCTGGGGGCTGGGACCCAGGAATGGGCAGCAGGTGGCTCTGCCCCCGGAGCATGCGAGCCAGTCACACCAGTGGTGGGAGCACCACGAGCCGTACCAGGAAATGTGGGAGAAGTACTCCTGGAGAAGTAGTCTGGGCCAGGGTTGAAGGGTACTTAGGTGTGCACCTGGGCAGTAGGGGTGAGGCGGGGCACTTTCTTTCTCCCGGTCCTCCCTCCTGGCCTAAAGGCAGAAGGCAGAGGAGACCCAGCCCTGGAGCTGAGAAGGGAGGGGATCCCAGCGTTTGAGCTGCAGGCCCACAGCCCCGCACGGGCTGTTCCTGCGTGGGCAGCCCAAGGATTAAACAGATTTTGTTGGGATTACTGCTGCCAATCAAGTTCAAGTGCATTTTTAAGAGCTTAATTTGTGGCCCTAGGTTTCGAATAAAATCGTCAAGTCCAGTCGATTAAACTCATTAAGGCGGGTGGACTGGCTGGTGTTCACACTGCCATCAGATTTGGAGAATTAATTAGGGGCCTGTTATCCTTTGTCGGGATTAGCAGAGCCAGCCCAGAGGCCCAGGGTTTCTGCTAAAAGACAGGCCCATAATCTCTTTAGTGGGGCCTTGGGAGACAGAGATCTGGGCAGCTTTGAGCAGGAAGTGCCACATGGGTGTCTTTGATTCTGCCGTGTGCAGACTGGCCGTGGGTCGGGGGTGTGGGCAGGCTTTAGGGCTTGGGCCATCCTGAGGGTGGCTGGCCCAGACAGCACTTCAGGCCACATAACCCTGCATACTATCCATGACCTATTCCCCCATCTCACAACAACTTAGGAGGAGGGCGCCAAGAGGACTTCTGCTGGTTCCTTTGCCTTCAAAACCACCCCCGACCCCAACTGCTGGAGTCTCAAGGCTCTATCTCCTTGTGAACCAGGTGGTGTGAGCAAGCTGGCCACCAAGAGCATTCTAATCCCTTGGGGGACATTGATTGGTCTCTGAGTGGGTGGGTATGTGACCCAAGAAGAGCCAGTCAAGGCCATGTCAGGGGGTGGTTGGGGTTTCTGGTATAGCTAAGGGCAAAAATATTAAGCCTGGAGCTGCCAGGCCCTGCAGGCCCTGCCTCAGGATGGAGAGAGAAGACAGATGAGTTTCTAATGACACTGGGTGAGCCGCTGGATCTAGCCACACCTAAAGTTTACCCCTGGACTTTTCAGTGACCTGAGCCAGTCCATTCCTCCTTGGAACAGGGTCTCTGTCACTTGCAACCAAGGGACAAATCAGCCCAGGTCTCAGGTCTCTTGCCTTCCAGAGCATTAGGGCTGAGAAGAAATTTAGAGGGTCTTTTTTCTTTTCCCGCCCATTTACAGAATGGGGAAACTAAGGCCCAGAGAGGAGAAGGACTTGCCCAAGGCTGCTGCAGATATTAATGGCTTCTGGTCTTCTAATGCCTCCTGGGAAAGAATCCTCCCCGCACCTCCCTGGTGGGTCTGGCCAGGCCAGTGCTGGGTGGGGTTTACCAGGTGTCCATACCAAAGGCAGACCGTGGTCAGAGCAAGTGGATAAGCTGGAGACATTTCCAGGAACTGGGGGAAGCAGAGTGCCCCACACACACGGGTCCCAGGTGATGGCTCTTACCCAGCTCAGGACCCTGGCTGGTGTCTCTGGGCCCGGCACTGGGCACTGAGTCTTTGCTGGGGTCTTTCTGTCCTGAGAGACCCCAGCAGGGGGGGTAGGGGAGGGACTCAGAGCCAGATTACCAGGGTTCAAATCCTTCCTGGCCAGTCGCTCGCCCTGTGACCCTGGATTGATCATTTGGCTTCCTCGAGTGCACGCTTTCTTCGTCTGTCTGAGGGGGTGGTGGTGACAATGGGGCTGCGGGAGGCCTGGGAGGCAATGCAGGTCTAGCAGGGAGCTTCGTGAGTGTCGTGGTCCACATTGCACCCTGCCCCTCAGTGCTGCCTACTGGCCTCTCTGCCTCCACTCTTGCCCCTCCCCCATCAGTTCTCAGCACAGCAGCCAAGGGCATCTTTTAAACGTTAAAAGTCAAATCCTGCCACTTGCATGCTTAAAGGCTGCTGAAGAAGCTTAGAATGCAGCTTAAATGCCTCACTGTGTCACATGTCCTGGCAAATACGGACAGGTGACAAACCCTGAGTAGCTGTGCGGTGGAATATGCCAGCCATGTTGTTCTGCTCAGGCATTCTGTGTGCAAGGACTCTGGATGGGACCTGAGCATGTGGCTTGCTTCTGCTGTACCAGGTCTGGCTCAGTGGAGCCTGTAGACTGGAGCGCCTGCCCACATGTCCCCAAGGGACTCTAGCTTCCTCACAGCATGGCGGACAGGTGCTGAGAGGGGTTTCTGGAGAGCATGGGAGGAAGCAGGAGGAAGCTGCATGCAGGCCTTTTCTGACCTAGCCTGGCAAGTTACATAATGTCGCTTCCACTGGACTCTAGTGGTCCAAGAAGGCACAAGTGCATGCTGTTTCAAGGCCAGGAGACATAGATGGAGAGTGGCTGTGTCACTTGCAGAAGAGCACATGAAATGAGAGACGCTGGTGAGGCCATTTCTGGAAACCATGGACTCTCCAGTCCACATGGTCTGGGCATGGCCCATATGTCTGAAGGAATTGCCTCTCCCTCTCCCTCACTCATATGCAGGCAGCTACCTTCTCTCTGTGCCTCAGACATGACAAATGCACTCTGCTGCAGGGCCCTTGCACTTGCTGTTTCTCCGTCTCCACATGACTGGCTCCTTCCACTCCTGAAGTTCTCAGCTCCAGTGTTCCCGCCCTAGAGAGGCTCTCCTTGACCCCTGGTCTAACCACTGCCCCCTCCAAGAATGCTCTAGAAAAGCCCCATCCAAGAGAAAGATTATGCAAGTCACAAATGTAATTTGAAATTTTATGGTAGCCACATTAAACAAGAAATTAATTTAAATGTATGGATATATTTACATGTCTGTTTGTATTTACTTATCTTTCATATATTTTTAACCCAATTTATCCAAAATATTATTATTCAATATGTAATCAATATAAAAATGTCAGTGAGGTATTCTGTGTTCTCACTTTTTTTATTGTACTATCTTTGAAATTTCATGTATTTTACATGTATAACACATGTCAATTCAGAAGCTAAATTTTTGTAGGAAATACTTGATCTGCTTTTAGGTCTGATACAACTTACTGTTGAAAGAGACTACTTCCATAGCCACCTTGTTCCAAAATAACTGAACTGATTTGAACATCCATTTTAACATTTAAATGACTTAAAATTCAATACAATGAAAAACCCAGGTCCTCAACCTCAGCGGCTGCCTCACACGTGCTCTGTAGTCATATTTACCCAGTAGAGACCGCTTCTATCATTGCAGAAGATTCTATCGGGTTGTGCTGCTCTAGGACAGTCCCAGCCCCTGTCCACATAGCACTCACCGCTGTCTGCGAAGATCTCACTCTGCTTGTTCAGTTGTTCACCTCCTTTCCCTTCCTCTGGAGCATAAGGACCTTGTTCCTGCCCAGAGAACCATGCCTGGCCCATAGAAGGCACCAGAGAATAACTTGGTAAATGAGTAAGTAAAAATTGAATCCAGGTGCCACGCTACATCTTCTCAGTCAATCCTCAGCCCAGCTTTGAGGGAGGAGCTGAGGCCCGGAGAGCCACAGCTAACACCCAAGGTCACATAGCCATAAGGGCCAGTGCAGAACTGAGGTGTCTGCATCCAACGCAGAATCCTGCTCCACCTCCCCTGTCTGTACCCGAGTACCTCAGCTTTAAAATCCATTTTAGAACTTCTTTTCTCTAATCTTAGAATATGGCCTTGAAATGTACTTTGAAATTCTTTGTTTCCCTCCCTTTCCCACCAGACCCTTCCTTGTGCCATGCACGCTCATCTAACTATGAATACATACTTGCTTAGAAACTCGGGCTAAGCTTGAAACAAGCCAGCATGCAGGTGCAGCTGTGGCATTCTCCCCCACCTAGAGATTACCTCAAGGTGGTTAATCTGCAACCCAGCGGCCGTTGAGACAGTGTCAACTGGTATCCAGAGGGACTCAAGATAACCCTTGGAAGGAGTGCAGACCTGCGCCCTGCACTGCTCCGGCATGTTTCCCATACCAAGTTTCCCATTTAAACCCCCTCAGTCAGCCCAAAAATTTGGGTTGGCTTCTTTGAGGCTGATGCCTGGCCAGCTCCTCATCTGCTGGCATTTGAATAAGGCCACTTTCCTTCCATCACACCTGGCCTCTTGTATATTTGGCTTTTTGAGCAGTGAGCAGCCAAACTGGAGTTTCTTTCCAAGACCACATGGCTTCACAGCTGGTGGGGACGGGACCCCTGCCCTTGGGCAGCTTATGACCTGTCACGGGAGACGAACATGCAAGAAAACGGCATTAGCAGGACAGGGAACATGCTGTCGTGGGTGTGAGCAAAGCCTGCAGAAACAAACTTCATCCTGGCTATTGCCAGAGGCTCCACTGAAGATGTGGCGATTGTCCTGGGCAGCTGTGTTCACCAGAACTCTTCTGGTTCAACGGGCAGCAGGGACAGCATGCTGGCTCAAATTGGCCCAAGGAAAGAGGCATGTATGGGCACCCACAGCAGAAGAGGGCTGGGCCTTGGGTGTGGCTGGGCCCCAGCACTTCAGTGATGGCCTCAGGCCCTGTCCCTCTCCAGCTCTTGGCTCTCTCTTCCTCTGTTTGGGCTCTGGTCTTGGGCAGGCTCTCTCTGTGGCATCACAACTCCAGGCTGTGGCCTCTCTTCAGCCACACCGGTGAGAGAGATGTTTTGTTTCCAACAACTGCTGCCAAAGTCCGGGATTTTGCCTTATTTGTGTCTGCCGAGGTCAGGTACCCATCACTGAACAATGGAAAGAAATGCAGTGATTAGCCAGGCCAGGTCACCTGGCCATCCTTGGACCTGGGGATGAAGGTGGCACCAAGAAAACTTCATGGCCTGAGAGTTGGGGGGGTCCCCACAAAAAATTGGCTGTTATTATGTACATTAGGCAAGCAGGACCATAGATCATGGGTGGGAAAGCACTCTGCAAACTGTCAAGTTCTCCTGCAACCTGCAGGTAAGATGCCCTCTCGTGGGAGGAGGAACCGAGACCCAGCCTTAGGGGAAGGGTGCCCTGGGTCAGCCCTACTTGCCCAGTGCCTGCCTTGTCTGCTCTCTGGGCACAGATTCAACTCCAATTTTGAGTCTGTCAGAACATGTGATCCTTCCAGGTGCAGGGATTGGCTCAGAGATGGGCAGCCCAAGAGTTCC
This sequence comes from Homo sapiens, assembly GCF_000001405.40. NCBI lineage: Eukaryota > Metazoa > Chordata > Mammalia > Primates > Hominidae > Homo > Homo sapiens. The sequence continues at coordinate 127,082,385 of NC_000003.12, forward strand.
CCAGCTTTTTTTTTGAGACGGAGTTTCGCCCTTGTTGCTCAGGCTGGAGTGCAATGGCACGATCTCGGCTCACTGCAACGTCTGCCTCCCGGGTTCAAGCGATTCTCCTGCCTCAGCCTCCTGAGTAGCTGGGACTACAGGCATGTGCCACCACGCCCGGCTAATTTTTTTATTTTTAGTAGAGATGGGGTTTTATCATGTTGCCCAGGCTGGTATCGAACTCCTGACCTCAGGTGATCCACTTACCTCGGCCTCCCAAAGTGCTGGGATTACAGGCATGAGCCACCACGCCCGGCCCCAGCTTGTTTTGAGGGAAGGGATGAGAAATGTGCCTGCAGACATTGGGGGCATCTTGTCAGCCATGAGGAGAAGCCAGTGTGAAGGGTGAGGCTGACCCAGGAGGAGGGAGGTCAAGGTAAGAAGAGGGTGTGTGGCCATGACAATACTACTGAGTCATACCTGAAGTTGATGTCCCCCATCCATGCCCTAGATCCATGAGCCAGTAGTGAAGGACCTGGCTCTGCCATGCAGGGTTAGTGTGGACCAGATTGGGCCTTGAACCTGGGGTGGGATCTGGCACCCGACTTACCTGTGTGAGCCTGGAACAGTGTCCCAGCTCCCTGCCCAGCACTGCATGCATGGAATCATGTATGTAATGTGCCAGGCCTGTGTCACATGCTCAGTAATGTGAATTCCCATCCCCCCTTCTTCTGCAGGCATCTTCCCACTGGGTCTGCCCCAATCTCCCTGCCCACATCACAGCACCAGAAATCCCACAAGCTCCCTCATCTGTAAAGTGGGGATAACGATTCCTCCTGCACAGGCAGGAGGAATGTCTGCATGCATGTAACATGTGTATACGTGTTATGGATGTTATGGATGTCATGCTTGCGTGTCGTGCATATGTTATGTGTGTGTTGTGTCTACGTGTCATGTATTATGCCATGTATGTTTGTGTGCTACATATATAGTAGCGTGTATGTTTATATGTATGATATACGTGTGTGGTATATGTATGTGTGCATGCACGTCATGTATGCATGTGTCATGTATGTCTGCATGTGTGATGCATTATTTGCTTTGTGACGTGCACCTCACAGTGAGGAGTGGATGGCACAGAAGCTAGAATGACATAGTTTGGATTTGCGTCCCCTCCAAACCTCAAGTTGAAACTTGATCCTCGGTGTTGGAGGTGGGCATGGTGGGAGGTGTCTGGGTCACGGGGGATCCCTCATGAGTGGCGTCGTGCCCTCCCCACAGTGATGCGTGAGTTCTCGTTCCATGAGTTCCTGCGAGATCTGGTTGTCAGAAGGAGCTTGGCACCTCCCCTCTCCCTCTCTCTCTCTTTATCTCAGTGCGACCTCTGCACATGCAGCTCCACCTCACCTCTGCCATGAGTGGAAGCTTCCTGAGGCCTCCCCAGAAGCAGAAGCTGCTGCTGTGCTTTCTGTGCAGCCTGCAAAACTGTGAGCCAAACAAACCTCTTTTCTTTATCAATTCCCCAGACTCAGGTGTTCCTGTATAGAGACGCAAATGGTCTGAGACCTAGCACTGAGCCTGTGCATGGTGAGTGCTTGGAAACCGCACTGACCACCAGCACCCATGTGTGGGCACTGTTCGAGGCACGTGCTGTCTGCTGGCTCCTTTAGTCCTCATTGCAGCCGAGGGTGGTGTGATCAGTATCCATGGCAAGGATACCGTGGCTCCACATATCAGTAAGAGGCGGGCTTGGGGGCCACACTGATCACCTGCTCTGCCTTGATGCAGGGCACAGCCACCGTTACCCTGTGGAGCAGCCTGCACTGCTTGTCTTGGTGAGGCTGGCCTCGTGCCCGTTCTCTCTTTGTTCTCTCTGGGAAGTTCTCTCCCAGGTCCTTTCCTCTCAGCTGATCAATAGCATCTTGAGCGGACTCAGCCTGGAAATTCTCATCCAATGGTTTCCTTAGCAACCAGCCCACAGGCAGCTGCCCTCGGTCAGCCTGCTTTCTGATCTGAAACTCAACTTAGAGCCCAAAGGCTTTCCTCAGATACCCTTTCCAGCACGTCCCCTGCCTGGCTGGGGGCTACAGGGTCCCTGTCCATCCTCCCTTCAAGTAGGTGATGCTGATGGGGCTTCCTGCAGAGCCGGGTGAGCACAGCTGGGGCCCTAGGCAGGGCTGCAGGTAGACCTGGGTTCAGAGGCTTGGGCCGGGGTGTTTATGAGTGGGATGATGACTAGGTGTCTGTTTTAGACCAGGGCAGGCACGTAGTCCCGGTTATGTGACCACCGATGTGACCTGGCCACTGGGCAACCAGAACAGCAGCCAACCATGCGCAGTGGGTGCTGGGCCACCCGTAACACCCTGGGAGTCAGGGCTCCTGTTATCCCCTGCAGAGAGGAGGAAGCTGACTGAGGGAGCAGGGCACACAGGGAGGGAGGCCAGAGCGGGAGGTGAACCCTGTTGTGTTCGAGTACAAAACTCAGGTCCTCCTGGAAGGGTGGCCTGAAGTCAGTGGGCCCCAGAGGGTGTCTAGAGAGGCTGTGACATTGACAGGCCCAGTGGACAATGCCTGGGATATGGGCCAGAGCTGGGAATTGCAGCCCCCAGCCTGGAGCTCCTTTGTGGCCACTGCCTACCCCACGTGCATCCAAGCACTCCAGGCTGTGCACAACCTGAGCAATCCTGTGCAGAAGAGGCACGGCAACCCAACAGGGATGTGCCAACTGGGAATTCACGAAAAGCAGGGGTAAGGAGAAACAGAGCTCCTGATTCCCAGGAACCACTGGAGGTGTTGCGTGGGTGCCTGGGATGAGCCACAGGGGCTTGCAGGACACACAGGCCATGTCAGAAGATGGGCAGCTGGGGCTCCAACCCCCATGTGCTTGGTCCAAGCCATGGCATTTAGAAGCAAAGGCTCTGGAGTCAGGCTGGAGATTGAATTCTGGATCTGTCCTGCCTTGCTGGCTGTGTGTCCTCAGGTAAGCTACTTCCCTCTCTGTGCTCTGGTTTCCTCACTGTTGGGAACATTAAGAAATTTAATATTAGAAAAGCCTCCCAACAGTACTTGGCATACAGTAAGTGCTTCCCGGTGTTGGTTAAATAGAATGAGGCGGCCCCAGGGCCACTCTGGGTCACTCTGGCTCTGGACCTGGCCTTGTCCAAGCAGGCACCAGCAGCACTGTGTCCCAGCCTGTTTCCTCATGCATAGCTGTTCCCGGAACGGTCTCCCCTCAGAGCTCATAAACCCATGGGGGCTGTGCAGGGAGAGGGAGTCTGGAGACCGGGAACACCGGAAAGGACTCTTTCTGCTGCCTCCCTGGGCCCACCTTAAACACATACATGAACACGCACATACGTGCACATCCCTCGAGTGTGGGCAGGTACGTAGACTAGACTTACTGCGAACCCAGCAGTGCTGGGCGCTGGCAGGCCAGGCATTCGAATATCCACCAGAGACCCTTCGAGGGCCCTGATTTTCCTGTGTGTGGCTCTAGGACAGGACTGGCTGTCAAAGTTGTTTGGACCTTGGCATCCCACCCTTGCACCCTGCTGCACCAGGAGCCACCACCCAGGCTGGAGAGACGGGGCTGCTGGTAGGGTCCACCTGCAGCTGGCTTTTCTTAGCTAAGCAGCAGTGGTGTGACTGCCTCCCCAACCACCGCCACCCCCCACCAGGCAAATTAAAGTCACAGGATGACACTGGTATTTCCCATTCATTAGCAAAGATTAAAAACCTGAGGACACCCAACATGAGTGAAGGTGTATTCAGATGGGCATGCTTGGCCTTGGCAGGTGGGCATGTGAATTGGCCCAGCCTTTCTGGTGGTAATTTGGTTAATCTACCAATGCCTTGAAAACGTTAAGGCTGGGTATGGTGGTGCACATTTGTAGTCCCAGCTACTCAGGAGGCTGAGGCGGGAGGATTGCTTGAGCATAGGAGGTCAAGGCTGCAGTGAGCCATGATCAAGCCACTTAACTCCAGTCTGAGTGACAGAGTGAGACCCTGTCTCAAATAAAATTAAAAAAAATAAAAATAAAAATAAAAATAAAAATGTTTATACCCTTGAATCTAGAAATTCCACATCTGGGGATCGGTTCTAAGGCGATCGTTTTCTTACCCCACTCCTCCATACAAAAGGCGATCTGTCTTCTGGGCTAGAGCCAGCTTATTCTGGCTCTTGAGAGATGAGTGTTAAGTATTCTGGACAATTCACCAGTCAGTTGTTAGACTGTTGGTAGCTTGGCCCAGCCACGGTGCGATATTTACACCATGAGCATTGGCAATGGCTACGGCTCAGAGCTCTGCATTTTTCTGGAGAGCTGGTTTGTCAGCTCACCAGGCGCTCACCAGCCATGCTATTCTGTAGCCACTCACTCATCTCGACGTCCCAGTGAGGACAAGGTCCAGTGCGTATGTGAGGTGGACACAGCAGGCTGCATGCTGCGGATTGTGGGGAAAACGGAGCGAGTGTTAGAGTGTGTGTGTTTAGATGTGTGTGGAAAGCCTCTTAGAGGAGACACAGTGCCCGGGACCGGATGCTGCCTTGGGACACGAAGACAGTGGGAATGAGGGAGAGAAACTCACTTTTTCTATATATCCTTTTGTAGTCTTTGAATTGTTTCCACATTCCAATTTTTTTTTTAATGTAAAAGACAATAAAAAAGAAAAATCTTTTTTCACAGTTATGTTCTTGTTGTGAGTTGTTTGTGAGTGTGAAAAATAAGACAACATAGCTGTCCGTGTAAAAGGGAAGACTGAGTAAATCCAGCACAGTGGCTCCAGGCTGGGACACCGTGGGCTTATTACAAGTGGGTGTTCACGATTATTATCGCAATGGGGAAGCTGCTACTGAGTTTACCTGCAGTAAAGCCTGTTCGACAGTTGTATACACAGTATTATCTTGATAGCAAAAAAAACCCCAAACACGTTGGTGGGAAATATTCCAAACCATAAACAGGGTGTTTCTGGTTGGTATTGTTATGAACAATTTCAACTTTCTTTTGTATTTTTTTCCTGTACTTTTCCAATTTCCTATGTTGACTATGAGTTACTTTTGTACCCACTCCCCCCAAAATTCTGTGTTTTGGTACAAGAGCTGAGGCCAGGCAAATTGTATCCGCCACAATCCTGGCAGGTCACACCACCCTTGCTGCTGGCCTGGACCTTCCACAGCCTTCCTGGTGCAAGGTCTGTGTTTACGTGTCCTTCCGACCACTGCGCCCTCACCTGCCCTGACTGCGGTCCTGGCCCCATCTCTCCCCTCTTGGTGTGCCTGTGACCACAGGGGCCACTCCTTCCACCCTGGCTCAGCCCCTGGGAGCACCCTGGGCCTGGAGCGAGCCTCTGGGCCAGGCTTCCCTCAGTTGCAGAGGGGACGATGACAAAGCCTCCCCTCCTGCGGTGCCATGACAGTGAAGCACAGTGTGTGGGCCATGCCACAGGACTGGACAGACACATGGCACAGTTCAACGAACCAAATGGAACCTGGCTTGGCCAGAGGTGGAAGGAAAATCCCATTTCAGGCATTTTTTGGGGTCTCCCTCCCTAGTGTCACATGAATCCCAAGGAAGAGGGGCTGAGGGTCTCACAGTGACCCAAGAGTCTGCCGGGAGTTTTCTGGGGCTTCTCCTTGTCTACACTGATGGGTCCTTTTAAATGGGGTGTCTCTAATGGGGGCTTGGAAGATAGCAATTCCAGAATGCAAAAAAATCCACCACAAAACCCACAAAACACTGTCTTTCTGTTATGCCCGAGTCACATAACGGGGGGTAGTTCCTCCTTATCCACAGTTTCAGTTACCCGTGGCCAATCACCATCCAAAAATAGGTAAGGGTAGTTCAAGAAGATATTTGGAGACAGAGAGAGGCCACATTGGCGTGATTATGCCATATTGTCATGATTGATCTGTTTTATTATTGGCTGTTGTTATTCATCTCTTACTGTGCCTAATTCAGAAATGAAACCTTGCCACAGAAATGTAAGTGTAGTGGATGTGGGGTTTGGTGCTAGCCAGATGAGGGGGAACCACTGTATTTAGGAAAATTTGCCAGGCGTCCAGTCCCTGGGATCTGGGGTTCAAGCCTGGCTTTACCAAGGCCACTGTGTGCCTCTGTGCCAGTGACTTCACCTCCTTGTGCCTTAGTTTTCTCACTGTGAAAGGGGACCTGGTGCACTCACCACAGAGAGAGGTTGTTCGGATTAAGTGAGGTGACGCAGGCACCCTGCCATGCAGCCGCCTGGGCCTGTGCCCTCCTGGTCTGGAGTCCACCTCTCCCAGGAGGGGTCACTGCTGCTGTGTGTGCCCTGGGGGCCCCCAACTCCTGCGCATCCCTTCTTCCCGAGCCCTGGCGGTAGGCCCGGCATTGCTGTCCCCTCCCACACGTTTTGTCTCTCATTTCTGGGGTAACATTTGAACATCTGTGTATTTCACATAAGAATCTTGATTTCTAGTTTCTCCTAAACTGTCAGAGCCACCTGGCCGGACTTGGCTACTGGGACGCTCACTAGGTTAGGGAGGGCCGCCTCCTTGTGGGCGAGGGACCTGCAGGCTGGCCTCCCGCCTGGCCCCTGGGGCCTCTGGGCCCTCACCTGATAGCACTTTTCCTGAATGGAGTGGGCTGGCTTCTGGATGAGGTGGGGACAAATACCTCACAGGCTTCTCCTCTTTCCTGACCCCACACCCAATGCCTAGGCTGAAATTGGCCTGGGGCGATCTCAGGAAATGAAAGGCACACTTCCTAGAAGGGCAGTGGGGGTGGCCTCTGAACTCACTCCCTGCCACAGGCTCAGCATGTTGCCTGTGTGCGGAGAGGAGCAGACGTCCTCAGGCCACTGCTCTGAGTGTCCTGGAGCCTGGCAGAGTGCTCACACTGACCCCGCGGTGAAGGGAGGGTTGGGGGACAAGGCATGGGCCTGGGGGACGTGAGCTCGTGCCTGGGACTCCAGGCTGGCAGGCAGCTGGCAGGCCACCCCTCCCCAGCCTGGAGGGGACCAGCAAGGTTCTCTCTTGCATCCCTCTGGAACCTGGGTCCCCAGCTCCTGCCTGCCCCACCCTCTGTCCACAGGTCCCTTGACCAATACCTGACCTTGACATCCTGTCACCATCCTTTGCGTGTTAGTGGCATCATTTACATTGATTAATGACACCAGAGAAGCCCCTGTGTTTCTGTCTCACTCTAAAATCTTAATTACGCCTCTGGAGGTCCTACAGTCTACATCTGTGATGGGGCTTCATTTCTGCCAAGGCCTGCAGGCAGCATCTGGCCAGTGGTCCACTGGGACCTCTGACTCATTCTTTCTGTTGTCTGTTCTGTTCCAAGCTCCAGGCTGGGCTGAGGACACAGAGGTGAACACAAAGTTCTATGCCTGCCCTCAAGGAACTCCCAGGGTGGTGGGGTTGGAGGAGACACACGTGTGTACAAATAATTAGAATTCAGAGGGGCATCGGGTCCTTGCTGTAAAAGAAAGAAGCCCGGGTCTGGGGGACGCTGGAGGAAGCACCTGGCTCAGGCTGCAGAGCCAAGAGGGCTCCCTGGAGGAGGGGACACCTGGGCTGGTGTTGAAAGACATGTTTGCAGGCTACAGGGAGAGAGCTGTGCAGTGGGCACAGCAGCTGTGAAGGTGATGACTGGGGGCAGGGAGGAAGGGGCCGGGAGGCGAGGGTGTGGAGGAGGGCTGAGGCTGGGTCCAGTCTCACAGATGGCTGGCTCCTCTTTAAGGTGCCTTTATGGTGTTACCAGAGGCCAATGCCAGGAGGGGTGGGACAGAGAGCCCAGCTCAGGACTCTGTCAGACCAGGGCCATGATTCCAGCTCCTCATTTCCAGCCAAGTGACCCTGGTGCATCATACACCTCTCTGGGCTGCAGCGTCCTCATCGGTGAAATGGAATCTATGAGAGTTTCAGGTGGGGGCTGTCCACACAGGGACGGCTGCAGGAGGGGGTCTCTCCTCTGTCCCCCAGCTGAACCCTGAAGGTGGCCCTCATTGGTGCCCTCCTCCCTCTCAGGAGACTGTGTCAAATGCCACAGGGAGCTGAGTTTGGCCCTGTCCCCTGGTTGGGGAGTTCTATGTATTTTTCGGGGCTATTGCCTGCAGAGGCCCTGGCAGATCTGCTCACCCTAGGCCCCCCAGGGAGGAAGAAGGGAGATGCAAGTAACTGCCCTCTCCTCTCTCCACCCAGGGCCAGCCCAGCTCTGTCCCTGCACTGGGCCCCCAGGGAGGGCTGCTCCCACAGGATCTAGGTCACAGGGCACGGCAGGAGGCTGGGTGAGTGCCCAGGGCTGGGGGCCACCTTCTCAAGGGCCTCTTGTATCTGACTGAGGGCCATACCCAGTCCGCTCGGGTCACTATTACCATATAGCAAACTTCACGGTGTAAACCCAGATCACCTTGCTCCTGGATGTTCTGGTTCTAGGATTCCAGAAGGGTGCCTGGAGACAGCTCATCCGTGTTACGACAGGGGACAGAGAGCATACCTGCAAACCTGAGATGTGGGTTAATGGTTCCGAGATAGGCTCTGAGGCCAACTGGCCCTGGCTATAGTCACAGCCACAGCACGGGGGCCAGTTGCAGCATCAGTTATACAGTAATGCTGTGTCACAGCTGCCCCAAGCGCCAGGCCTCATAGTTGGCATTTACCCTCACCTCGGGCCCTGGCTGGGTGGCCCATCCTTCCTGCTCCTTGGACTGACAGCTCTCTGGGCAATCCTCATGGCAGATTTTGGATGTTCCCTGAAGGTGCCTCTTAAAGCCTCAGCTTAGAACTCACACCTTCCACCTCTGACCATGTTCCAGTGGCCAGTGCAGGTCACACCGGTGAGCTCCACATCACTGGGGTGGGGAGGACACTACACTCATGGAGGGGGAATGAAAATGATGAACAAAGGCTAATCCACCCCACTGGCTGTGTCACCTCGGCCAGTTGCCTACCCTGTCCGTGTCTCTGTTTCCTCTCGTATTAAGTGGGGACATTAACCAGCCGTGACAGACCACTGTGGGAAATTCACCTCCAAACATTTCTCCTGTTTCCCGTGGTCGGGAATTCAGACAGGGCAAGGTGAGGATGGCTTGTCTCTGCTCTGTGATGTCTGGGGCCTCAGCTGGGAGACCTGAAGGCGGGGGTTTGTGGGCTGAGGGCAGAGCCATGTGAAGGCTTGCATGCACGCATGGCTGGCAGCTGTGCTGGGCCAGAGGGGGCTTTTAGCTGGAACACCTGCATGTGGTGTCTCCATGACCTGGGCCCCCTTGTGATAGGGTGGCTGGGTTCCCAGGGTGAAGGTCCCCAGGGAGAGAGGAAGACAGCAAGGCGGGAGGGCGCCACAGGAGGCAGGAGGGCGCCACACCGTCCTTTTAGGACCTTGGTTTGGGAGATGCTCAGTGTCCTTCTGAGCCTTCTACTGTTTGCTGCTCCAAGCAGTTTCCTGTGGGTGTCGGGTGTAGGGTGGACCCCAGATGGGCTCTACTACCATCTGCTACCACAAGGTTACCTTCCTCATAGGGTCATTGTGAGGCATTAATCTGTTAGATGATCCTCATAATGGACTTAAACCAATGCCTCATATGCAGTAAGCGTCTATTATGTTTACTATCATGATTATGAGAGAGAGCTGGAAGGAGTGGTCCCTGGTACTGTGGGAGCTTAGTAAGGGAGCCGTCACCTCATCTTGGGGAGGGGCAGTCAAGGAAGATTGACCTAAGGAGGGGCTATTTCAGCAGCAATCAAAGGCAGAGTGTCAGGGAACGGACTCCAGCCAGAGGCACAGCACATGCAAAGGCCCTGAGGCTGGCAGGGTGCGAGAGAAACAGAGGGGGAGAGAGAGAGAGAGAGCAGAATGAACTGAACAGAAATCTGGGTTCCAAGCCTGGTTTTCTCAGGACTAAATGAAGAAATGAAGCTTTGTGTCATCTGAGGAGGGGCTACCAGACCATGATTTTGCTGTGGCTGGGGCCTAAAGTAGGTCAGCCAGCCTCGTGTGGGGAGCAGCTAAGGAGGCCACAATGACCTGCTCCCTCCTGGCTAAGGGGGTAAGAGTGGAGGCTGCAGCTGAGAGCCCTCTCACCTGAGGAGCCTGCAGGCACTATGGCAACCCCACCCTGAACACCCCAGGGTGAGGCAGAGGACTGGGGTCCCCTGCCCCCTAACCTAAAGGCCCTAGCCTCCCAAGCCGACCTTCCACTGGGATGGCCTCTCGCCTCCTTAACTGTGGCCAACCCCGAAGTCTGAGGGCAAAGTCCATCCCCGCCTTAGTTTGGGCTCTGGTTGCACAGGGAGTGGGAAGACCCCATCTCTGAAGGCCTCCTCCCAGACCCCCAGACCTTCACCTGCCCTACCCTCAAGAAATACCCTGTCCAGTTCCATGGACATCCCCTAGGGACTGGGGCACAGTAGCTCAGCCCCCATGGGTGGGAGTGAATGACACGGAGCAGCCCCTCCCTGTCCCTCACGCCACTGCCCAATGCAGCAGACGGGAAGGCTGCTCTGTGGCCTGCCTGGAGGGACAGCAGGAGAAAGATTTAATTGCAGCCTGGCCCGTAGCCTCCTCTGCACTGACCTCCTGCCTCCTGCCGGCCACACCCCAGGCTGGGCATGCTTTAATTAAAGACCAAGAGCTGCCGAGAGGAGGCCCTGCTGTCCGCCTCCCACTGGCTGGTGCAGCTGCCACGTGATTACCAGCTGACCCTCTGCAGGGGTGAGGGGTCTGTGGCCTCGCAGAATCGATAGGGCAGTGGGCCACACTCTGGCTGGTGGGGGCCACAGTTGCTGGGCTGTTCTCTGATCCATCGACCCCAGACAGCAAGACACATGCCCTGGAGTTGTCCTTTGTAGAAAACTGGCCTTCCTGGGGGTACTCCGCTTCCTTTTCATCTCTGGGATGTCTGTGAGCCACATGGGTCGGGTGTAGGGCAGCTGTGCAATGAGACTGTGGCCAAACGATGCCAGAAGCCAGCATTGGTGGGTCTTCATCCATGGGAGCAGCACAGCGTGGAAGCTAAGAGAACAGACTCGGAGCCACCACCTGGGTGCGTGTCTGTGGCTTCTTAACTGTGCAACCTTGGGCAAGTCACTCAACCTCTCTGAGTGACGCTCCTCATCTGTACATTGGAGAGATCCACAGTGGCCTCTTGTGAGGACTGAATGAGTGGGCAGAGCGCCAAGTGGGTGGGTAGGCCCTGAGAATGCCCACTGTGTGTCCTCAGCCACCTCTGCGAGGCCCCGGGCTGGGGTGCATGTCCTGTACACGTGCACACTGACTGCTCACCCCTTTGAGCACCTGCTAGAGGGGCTCAGCCGCCTGGGGACAGGGCAGCCTGGAAGTTCATGGATGGAGGGCCCTGGGAACAGTCCTCGGTCCATGAAGAACAGAGCTGGTGGATAAAGACCCCAGTTTCTCTGTCCTGTAGCCTCACAGGGGGCACTTCTTTTTTTAAAAAAAGTGTTTATACTGTTTTTATTTTATTTTGCACAGTTCTTTTTATCCTTAAGTTATATGTCATTAAGGATATACTATCTAATGACTATTTTAAAATTTTGATTGTGGCAAAATACATATAATATTTTTCATCTTAACCATTGTTATGTTTGGTAGCGTTAAGTACATAATCACTGTTGTGCAACCCAACTCCAGAATTCTTTTCTTTTGAGACAGGGTCTTACGCTGTGACACCCGGGCCGAAGTGCAGTGGCATGATCTTGGCTCACTACAGCCTCTGCCTCCCCGGTTGAAACAATTCTCCCACCTCAGCCTCCCAAGAAGCTGAAATTACAAGTGTGCGCCACCGCGCTTGGTTAATTTTTGTGTTTTTTGGTAGAGACAGGGTTTCTCCGTGTTGGTCAGGCTTGAACTCCTGGCCTCAAGTGATCTGCCCACCCTGGCCTCCCAGAGTGTTGGGATTATAGGCATGAGCCACTGTACCTGGCCCATAATTCTTTTTATCATGTAAAACTGAACCTCTGTCCCCATTAAACAATTTCCCCATCCCCCTGCCCTAGCCCCTGACACCCCCCAATCTACTTTGTGTCTCTATGAATTTGACCACTCTAGTACCCCATGTAAGTGGGATCATACAGTGTTGGTCCTCCCGTGGCTGTCTTATTTCACCCAGCATAATATCCTCAAGGTTCACCCATGCAGTAGCAGGGGTCAGGATTTCCTTTCGTTATAAGGCTGAGTCAGTTTATTGTGTGTATACACCACACTTGAAAAAATAAATTCAGTCATCCATCAACACTTTTGGCCATTGTGAAAATATGATTATGAAAAATACTGCTTTTATATTGTGTACAAATATCTGATTGAATCCCTGTTTTCTTTTCTTTTTCTTTCTTTCTTTCTTTCTTTTTTTTTTTTTTGAGACAGTGTCTCACTCTGCTATTGCCCAGGCTAGAGTTCAGTGGTGTGATCTCAGCTGACCACAACCTCCGCCTCCCAGGCTCAAGGCTCAAGTGTTTCTCCTGCCTCAGCTTCCCGAGTAGCTGGGATTAGGGGTGCATGCCACTACCACCCAGCTAATTTTTGTATTTTTAGTAGAGACAGGGTTTCACCATGTTTGCCAGGCTGGTCTCAAACTCCTGACTTCAAATAATCCAGTCACCTCGGCCTCCCAAAGTGCTGGGAGTACAGGCATGAGCCACCAGGCCCGGCCTGAATCCCTGTTTTCAATTCTTTTGATCACACACCCCAAAATGGAGTTTCTGGGTCAAATAGTAATTATATTTTTTGAGGAACCACTGTACTGTTTCCATAGTGGTTGCACCATTTGACATTCCCACCAACAGTGCACAGGGGTTCCTATGTCTCCATATTCTCATCAACATCTGTTATTTTCTGCTTTTTTGATAGCAACTATCCTAATGGGTATGAAGTGGTGTTTTATTATGGTTTTGATTTGTAGTTCTTCAATGATTAGTCATATTGAGCATGTCTTCATGTGCTTTTTGGCCATTTGTATATCTTCTTTGGGGAAACATCTGTTCGAATCCCTTGCCCATTTTTGAATTGCTTGTGTGTGTTGTTGCTATTGAGTTGTAGGAGTTCTTTATATATTCTAGATATTAACCCCTTGTCAGATATATGATTTGCAAATATTTTCTTCCATTCTGCTGGTTTCCTTCTCACTCTGTTGATTGTGTTCTTCGATGCACAGAACTTTTAAAACTTAATGTAGTCCAGTTTATCAATTTTTGCTTTTGTAGCCTGTACTTTTGGTGTCATATCTAAGAAATCATTGCCAAAGCCAATGTCATGAAGATTTTCCCCAGTGTTTTCTTCCAAGAGTTTTACAATTTTAGCTCTTACGTTTATGTCTCCCATCTATTTTTGTATATGGTGTGAGGTAAGGGCCCAAATGTATTTTTTTTTGTATATGTATACAAAAATGTAAATTTTTGTATATGGTGTGAGGTAAGGGCCCAAATGTATTCTTTTGCTTTGGGAGATCCAGTTTTCCCAGCACCATTTGTTGAAAGGGTTGTCCTTTCTCCATTGAGAAGTCTGGGCAGCCTTGCTGAGGAGTACTGGACTGTATATGTGAGGGTCTGTTGCCATGGCAGGGGATCTGGGCATGTGCTCCAAGGCTTGTAGAGGCCCCAGTAGGATGGACCTTGGCCGCCCACAGTGGTTGCTTGCTCAGAGCAAACTCTGTGCTGCCTGCTTTCCTCTGCATTTCACTCCCCCTCCCTTACTTACGTTTCCTGGATAGTTTCCCAAAAAACCAACTACACCCAAGCCCTTGCTCACTGTGTTGCCCAGGCTGATTTTGACCTCCTGGACTCAAGCGATCCTCCCGCCTTAGCCTCCCAAAGTGCTGGGATTACAAGTGTGAGCCACCCTGCCTGGCCCAAGAAATGTTTTTTTAATTTGTCTTTTTGTGATAGTAACCATGGATATTTTTAAGTATCTGGCATTTCTAAGGCCTCCAATTGGCTGCTTCCACACATTTTGCATTCTTTATTCATCACAATTACTCTGAAAGGTCCCTGTTACAATCTGTGCCTGATCAGAGAGAAGAGAGGGGCCTGTGGAGGTTGAGTGCCAGCCCAAGGTCATGGCTGGAAGTGGCTGAGCTGGGACTGCACTGGGACTGTCTGATCCCAGATCTGGTCTCGTTCCTGCCCTGCATCAGAACCCATGGAGCTCTTGCGAAGTCTGCTTAGTGCTTCTGGGCACATCAGGAACTGGATCGTGTGCCTGCCCTCAAGGCACTGCTGCATCTCCATGAGGGGGCCCGTCTTTCTCAGCAGGGGACACTGCAGGCCCAGCCAGGCGTGGACACTAGGCATGCCCTCTCTGCAGGTAAGCAGGGTTTGGGGAAGGCTCAGAAGCTCGAGGAGCCATGCCCTCTACTGTGACCGTCAGCAGCAGAAGCTGTCATCCCCCAACTCTGAACACTGCTGTTCCAGCCTCCCCCATCACTCCCTGTCTCCCACCCCCAGGACACAGCCCTGGTCTGGGCTCGAGGTTCTCTGCAGGCAGGAGGTAGATGAGGCCCACATTTGCTGCTGCAAGCCTCCCCCTGCAGGCTCCTTCTCTGCTAGCTGGATGGGCTACTGTTGCCTTTTCACAGCTGACAACTCCAGATGGACTTGATACACACACTTCTCCACGTCAGAGTGAGAGGTCACAAACGGGGTGTGTGTGGAAGGGAATCCCTGACCAGCCGGTGGCTGCAGGAAGCCTCCCAGGGTAGCCAAGAAAGTATGCAGTTGACCTGCAAGTGCAATCAGAAGATGAGTGTTCCAAGCAAAGGGCTCAGCGTGTGCAGAGGCACAGACCAGATGCCCCTGGAGCAGCAGGACCAGCCCTGCAAGGTTGGATTGTGGTGGCGGTGTGAGTGCTAAGCAGTCATGCAGTTCATGAGCTCAGCAGTGGCAGCTGTGAGGGGAGCCTGTCCACTTCCATAGGCTCAACCAGCAAGGACACAGCGAGCCCACATGATTCAGTCTGTTACACAGATGGCAAAGGCAAGATCAGCCTGGTGTTAGCCCCTGCAACCCCCTGGTCCTCCAGCACGACACTGGGCCAGATGACACAGTGGTGGGTCCTTAACTACAGGCAAGCAGTCCTGTTGTTCGCTGCTGCATCTGGAGGAGGAGGACCAAGAAAGACCCTGGCGTGGCTGGAACTGGGAGGAGGGTGAAAAATGGCCTTGTGACAGCTCTTCATAGTGCCATCTGTCTTCCCGGTTCTCAGGGAATTCCATCACAGTGAGGGCTGTACTAAGGTGGAGCCTCACCTGCACAGCCAGAGTGGGGACCTGCAGGTGGTCTGTGGCCTCCCCTTGGCCCTAGTGCCCCCAGCACCAGGGTAGCTGGCCCAGGTGGAGGCTGCATTAGACACCTTCATGGCTCCGAGAGGGTGGCATCTTCATGGGAGTGTGAGCTGCCTGCCATTAGCCCCACAAGAGGCTGGCTTGGGTGTGCCTGTCTTTGCCTGTTCAAAGGGGCCAGGCTGTCCAAACAGACACTGGATCAAGGACAAGTGCAGCACAGGTTAAACCACTCTCCCGTCACTGTAGAATCTCACCATGGCTCAGGGTAACTTCCCCTGGTGCATTTCTTTCTCTATGTCTAGCTCATCATATGAGATATAAAAGAGGAAAAGACACAAGCTGGTTATCTATTGCTGAGTAACATATTCTCTGAAAACTCAGTCTTAAAACAACAATATCCTAGGCTAGGAATTGGGATAGGTACAGTTGAGAAATTCTCCTGTTTCATGTGGCATAGGGCTAGGTGCCTCACTGGTCTGCAGTTGCCAGCTGAGTGGTCTAGAGGGCTAAGGGCAGCTCCCTCCTGTGTGGCACCTGGCAGAGATGGCCGGACAGCTGGTCTCACCTGCATCTTCAGAGTCTCAGTGGGGCCCCTCTGTGTAACTTGGGCTTCCTGGTGTAGCAGTACAAGCCACAGTACCTCTGCAAATGCTGAAGCTGAGTTGCATGGCTGCCCAGGGTGGTCGACTCTTACTGGCCCTCAGGGCTCCTGGGGGCAGGCAGCGGCTCGCTGTCTGTCTAGAGGCTGGGCTCAGCACTGGCCTCTTCTGTGGGCCCAGCAGGCCTCGGGGCCAGCCTGGATTCAGAATGGAGTCAAGCTCTAGCTCTAATGGCAGGAAGAGCAAAGACTGTTCCACGAAAAAAAAAAATCACCCACAGATCATTCGACCTTCCTTATTTAAGACTGCAACATATTTTCTTCAAGTCTTTTTTTAAAAACCATATTGTGATCATATGTTCTGCTTTTTTAACTTAACATTCCACTTTGAACATTTTCCTAGGTCACCAAAACTTCTTCCTAAGTTCCATTTTTGATCTTTGTAGGCATGCACCATGATATATGTAACTGCCTCCTGACAGCGAAACATTTAGGTTTTCCTCTTCTTTGATAGCAGAGATGCGGCTGCCCTAGCTATCTTTTATGGAAACCCTTGCTTTGCTTTGCTTTCCAAGGTGCCATCAGTCTCGCCTGCTGGTACTGTGTGGAGCCTGCCCCTGGCCTCCCCTCCCTGCCTGGGCCTAGGCCTGATGCCCTCCTCTTGTGGCTTTTGCCTCGTTGAGCTGTTCGCCATGCACATGCTTGGCCCGTTCCCTGGGCTGGGACTCTCTTTCCTTGGTGTTTCCTATAAGGCTCCCACTTCTCAGTGTTGGAGCCTGAAGCACCTCATAGAGCTAATGGTGGAATCTTCACCTTGGTCTGTGCCCAGCAGCCAGGGAGGCTGGAAAGTGGATGTTTGCAATTCTCATTTAGGGAGCCAGATTTCCACTCCAGGAAACTAATAGCAAATGAATGAATAAATGATAGTGAATGAATAGTGATAGTGAACCTCAAGCATTCCAAGAGTTTGGGGCAGCCATGAGTGACAGGTGTCCATCACATGTGGCAATGCCATTCCCCATTGCAGATGATGTCTAGGGGATGCAAAGGAAGAGGTTATGATTCTTGTCTGACAAGTAAGGCATGGTGAGAGGAAGTCATTTGCCCAAGGTCACACAGCCACTGCGAGGCTGAGCAGAGGCTCTGATTCTAGTCTGTTCATCTGCAAACCCAAGCTCTGGTGGGTACCTGGGGTGTGACTACTGCAGAAGCTCAGCTGTGTAGTCGGAGCCACCAAAGGACAGGGGCAACCTGGGGAGAAGCCGCTGCATGTTCTGCCTTGGCTTCCCTGATCCTATTCTCAGCCTGGAGGCTGGGGTGAAGGAAGGGGCTCCCGCATCCTGACCTCCCAGCCAGCAACCAACAGGAGGGAAGGCTTCTTCTCCCAACTGCAGCCCACAGGCCAAATCGAACCTGCCACCTGTTTCAGTGAATCAAGATTTATTAGAACACAGCCACACCTATTCTCTAGGTTTCATGGCTGCTTTCAAGCTATGGCCGTAGAGTAAAGCAGTTTGACAGAGACTGCGTGGCCCCCAAGCCAAAGATACTTACATTTGTCCCTTTGCAGAAAAAGCTTTCCAACTCCTGGTCTGTCCTTGTCCTCAGGCCTAGACCTGTCATTCAAACTTTGGACCTTGAAAGTATTGTATCTCTCCAGAGTCCTTTAGGAACATGCAAACCATCCTGCCTGGAGGGCAACTGTCAGGATTGTCCCATTCCTGTGTCCTCACACCTTCTTTTCAGATGTTTTCTCACTGTGACTCGATGGTCCTGATGGGTCATTGAGGGCAGGGACAATTGGAAATAGATGGCTTGGGATCAGCTTCTGGAATAACCACTTTTTCAGGACTGTTTGGACTGTAAGTGACAATCCCAACTCAAACAAGCTCTGGCAAAAACAGAAACCTACTGGCTCAAATAACCCGAAGTCCCCAATTATTTTTGGCTTCAGGCATGGCTGGATCCAGGTGCTTAAAAGCTGTCTCTCTACCCTTTGGCTCTGGTTTCCTCTGCATTGACTTCATTCTCAGGCAGGCTTTTGCTATGTGATTAGCCAAGAAGTCCACCAATGACCAAAGGCTGAAACCTTCCACCAGACAGAGTCTTACCCCAGTAGCTTCTGTCAAAGTCCTTAGAAAGAGCTCCGGGGCTAAGTACTGACACCTTCCACTGCTCACTGTGGTTGGGGCATGGATCAGTTTCGCTGCCCAGGCTTGGGTCAGGACCTGGGGCTGGGTCCATTCCACTCGGTTACAAGAGCTCAGAGTAGAGGTGGGAGGGCTCCCCCGGGATGCCCTTCTGTTAGTAGATGGGAGTGGGGCAGAAACACGCTGGCAGAGGAGCAGGCATCCTCCGCAGGCCCGCCCCATCCCTGGCCCACTGCTGACGGCAGCCCTGGTGCTGTGCTCCCTGCTCTTCTGGGCTTCACTTTGCCTTGTAGCCTTCACTGCATGTGGGGCCCCGTCCTGGTCCTGAGCGCACAGTCACTTGTGCTCCTGACCCCTATACCCGCCTCTGGTCACATTAACTTCCTGAGGGGCTCCTGTGGCTGCTGTCCTGATCTGGGAACTCAGAGGAGGCCCCAGGCCACGGAGGAGGCGGGAATGGCAGGCTGGGCTGATGGGATGGCCTGAGCAGGTTCGGGGTTGGTGTGACCTGGCAGGAGGAAGTGAGCGCAGGGCCACGCATGGCCAAACCAGGAGGTAGATAGCTGAGTGGCCAAGATCCTTGCTGCCAGGTGGGGGAGATGAGGGCCTGTAGAGACCCTGAAGGGAGCCCAGGGCCAGCTCTAGAGGGGGGATTTGGAGCCATTTAAGAGGCTCTCTGTTGGACCCTGGGGTCAGAGAGATAGAAACACCCAGACACCTCCAGGGGTTCCGCCATGCCAGAGGAAGACAGATAATCAGGCAAGCAAGCTCAGGGCTCCTTGGAGAAAGGGACTCCTGAGAAGAGGATTGAGAGGCACCTAGGTACAGGGACAGGGTGGGCTGAGCAAACCATCTTGCAGTCCCACAGGACCCGAGATGACTTTTGAGGGCCCCAAGGGATGGGGGCAAGTGAGGTGCTAGTGGAAGACTCCAGCCCTCCAGGGTTGGGCCAGTCCAGGCTGAGAAGGCAGGGCTGGCGGACTCCATGCTTCCCACAGCCAGGGCCCCAGGGTGCCCGCCACAGCTGAGACCCCGCACAGCCACAGAAGAAGGGCATGAACTTAATTTTAATAATCAGAGTGGATTAGAAATAATATTGCATTGGGAATTCTCCTCTTCCAATTTTGCAGACTCTCTGGAGATAATTGGAGGCCCTCTGGTGTGTCAGAACCCAGGGTGGGGAGTCCTGGGGCGGGGGCGCGAATCGCTGCTGCTGAGCCATCTGCTCCTGCCCGGCTCTCCAGTGCGGCAGATTCTAAATGTGCTTATTTAGTCATTTCCCCCCCAAAGTCGTTGCGATTCCTAGGGATGTTTTTGAGATGGACGGCTTACCCCAGGAACCAGTTGGACTGCTCCTCTTATTTTATACAGGGGGAAACTGAGGGCCGGGAAGGGGGAACGAGTTGCTGGAAGCCGGGAGCTGGGCACCGGGGAGGTGGGAAGGAAGAGGATGTCCCCGCAGGTGCTGACAGCAGGGTCTTTGCCACTCAGCAGCGTGGGGGTCCACGCTGGATGCCAGGGTGGGGAGGAGAGGCTGGTGAAGGTTCTACATCTTCTTTGAAGGTCACCTTCGCCAAATGCCACCTGCCAAAACAAGCTCCTGACTCACACCAGCTGCTCTTGCCCCAGACTTGACTTCTCACCCACCAACATGCCCACCCCCTCAGATCTTGGCTCTGGTGAGTGCCAAGGTGGAAAATGAAATTGCAAATTCAGTTAAGCCGGGGCTCAGTGGTAACAGCTTGATGGGTGGTTGTTTCACACACTCACACACACACACACAAACACACACACACACACAGTGCTTAGAGTACATGCTGCCTTAATTCAGGACTTTCATACTCAAATACCTATGGAGGCCAGTAGGTGAGACTACAGGGAGTGGTGGGGACTGTGGCAAACTGGAGTGCACCGCCCATCTAAAGGGGCAGCAGCTGCTCATCTCTAGGCAACGGTTGCCATGCGGGAATGCCAGCCCAGAGTGGCTAAATCTTGAGGGCTTTTTGAAAGAAGTTGAGAATTCTGATTTTTAAATGAAGACTTCACATTTTTAAATGTTGGCT
Organism: Homo sapiens; assembly: GCF_000001405.40. Taxonomy (NCBI): domain Eukaryota; kingdom Metazoa; phylum Chordata; class Mammalia; order Primates; family Hominidae; genus Homo; species Homo sapiens. The sequence continues at coordinate 127,102,445 of NC_000003.12, forward strand.
ACTTACTCAAATTTTTATAAAACACTAAGTGGGCCATACAAAAATAAATCTGTCAGCTGGATTCATCCTGCAGGCTTCTTCATCTGAGAAAGGGACCTTGCGATGGCGATAAAAATACTGATTGGTGGGGAGGAGGAATAAATGTTTAGTACTTGTCAGTTATTTATCAAGTGCATGTTGGCGCCGGGAGTACTGCGACAAACCAGACCAACAGGGCTTCTCCTCTGGTAGGGAGACTGCTTGACACAAGTGATCCCCTTAGTCATCACCGAACAACCATGCGGGCGCAGCCCTTCGTGACCCGGTGCTGTGTGGGGAAAGTCCATGCCCCAGTGTCGGCCCCACAGCCCGGCTGCCCCATCGGAGAGGCTGAAGAGTCGCTTACCTGCGGATGGGCTCCCTGGGGCCTCTGTAGACAGAGAACTGGAAGGGGGAGTGGGTGGTGCCCCAGAAGCCTCTCTTGCTGCAGCACCAGCACCCCCAGCCAGAGATTCAGAGCAGATGAATAAGGCTGGGCAGCCCTGAAGGCCCAGGTCTCATGGTCCTGCATTCAGGAAACTTCCGTTGACTTACACTATGAAGCAAGATGGAAAGAAATGCAAATCCCTATGTCCATTCATGTGCCTGTCTCCAGGAAGCCTGACTGGTCTTGTTGCTGGCGTCTCTTGTCCTATCTGCCTCTCACTCCTCTCTCTGAGGCCCTGAGACAGGTGCCAGGTTTTCATACAACACCGCTATATTGGCTATGGTGGGTGCGGGGAGGGGCGGTCGGCTGAGCTGGCTGATGGCAGGGCGTTCCTGAGAGGTTTTTGAACTGGAACTAAACAAGAATGGCAGAAGCCATCAGCAGCCACGCTTCTCCCAGCAGGGGAGAAGCCGGCCTCAGCCAGAGAGGAGAAACCACTGATCAGAAAGGAGCTGGGATGGGACTAGGAGGGGAGCGTCCTAGTGGTATCACAGTTGCAGTCCTGGTTCCCACGATTCTGCCACTCCTCTTCTAATGAGATACCTGGATCTTTCTAAGAACTGCCCTCTTTTGTTTATTTTTAAGCTGATTTATTTACTTTTAGTTTTTTTTTTTTTTTTTTTTGAGACAGGGTTTCACTTTGTCACCCAGGCTGAAGTACAGTGGCACTATCATAGCTTACTGCAGCCTCGACGTCCCAGGCTCAAGCCATCCTTCCATCTCAGCCTGTTGACTAGCTGGGACTACAGGCATGCACCATCATGCCTGACTAATTTTTTGTAGAGATGGAGTCTCGCTATGTTGCCCAGGCTGGTCTTGAACTCCTAGGCTCAAGTGAGCTTCCCTCCTTGGCCTCCCAAAGTGCTGGGATTATAGGTGTGAGCCACTGAAACTGGCCTTATTTATTTTTTAATTTTTAAAAATTGTGATAGCCTGGGCGTGGTGGCTCACGCCTGTAATCCTAGCACTCTGGGAGGCCGAGGCGGGTGGATTACCTGAGGTCAGGAGTTTGAGACCAGCCTGACCAACATGGTGAAACCCCATCTCTAGTAAAAATATAAAAATTAGCTAGGTGTGGTTGTGGGTACCTGTAATCCCAGCTACTCGGGAGGCTGAGGCAGGAGAATCGCTTGAACCCACTAGGTGGAGTTTGCAGTGAGCCGAGATCGTACCATTGCATTCTAGCCCTGGGTGACAGAGCACGACTCCGTCTCAAAAAAAAAATTGTATCATAAAATACATATAACATAAAATTCACCATCTTAATTTTTAAGTGCACAGTTCAGTGGCACTCAGTGCATTCGCACTGTTGTGCAAACATCACCACTGTTCAGCTCCATAACTCTTTTCATCTTGCAAACATGAACCTCTGTCTCCATTAAACTCCCCATGCCCTCCTCCCAGCCCCTGGCACCCACTCTTCCACTGTGTGTCCCTGTGAGTTTGGCTACACTAGTGCTTCGTACAGTGGAGCTGGGCATTGTTTGTCCTTTGGAGGCTGCCTCATTGCACTCAGCCTAATGTCCTCAATCTAACAGCCATCCTCTTTCCGGAGCAAGTTCAAGTGGGGATTCTGTCACATGCAAACAAAATGACAATGACTAATTCAATCATTACGGCTTTTGAAAAAGCAAGGTAATTAAAACCACAATATAGAAAAATGTTGAAAGAAACACAAACATTGATGCTTAAGGTAAAAACCTTCTTTTATTCACTAAACTCAACTGGCCTGGCCACTGCCTGATGGAAGTGATGACTTTTCTTTCGCTTTTTTTCTTACGTAGGTGGCTGCTGCCCAGCCATCCCATCCACAGTCCTGTGCCTGCTTTGCCCTGAACCCTCAGACACTGGCTACACATGAGGGCGCTGTGCCAGGTGGCCTCTCACCGGTGCTGGGTTGCCATTTGTGGGTTCAGGTGCAGGTCAGAAAATGCTAGAGTTCTCCTCAGGCAGGTAGGGCTTTTTTGCTCCCCGCTTAGCAGCCCTCAATGGCAAAGCATTCTCTGCGTGGTCCCCACAGCCTTTGTGGGTTTACCATGTAGCTTTCCGTGGACACACACACTTCCCAGTGCCAGCAGGGCCAAATATTTAAACCACTCATTTGCTCTAACCCAATAGCTGGTTATGCCCAGGCTGGGCGGGCTAGAGGGCCGCACTCCACCTTTTCCTGTCCTGGGTCCTTCTGCATGGAGGCTTTGTCCTGGGACTGTCCCCAGCCTCCTCTTCTCCAGTATAAAACAGAAACCAGGGCTAAACAGCTCACACATCAGGCTCCAGCCAGCACAGACCCCAAAGATGCCTGGGGCCAAAGTGGTGTCTGGACTCTGAGGGATGAAGGTGGAGGAGAGTTCAAGGGGGAGGCTTGGTGGGGTCAACTTGAGGAGGGGACCGCTCAGGACTGGGTGATGAGGCATTTTTGGGGGTTGGCTGCTGTGAGTAACTCAGGGAAGTTCCTTTTCAGGAGAATGAAACCCAATGGAGGCTGCCCCAGCCCCAGAAGCCCCATGGCCAATGACTGGTGACATGGCCCTCATGGTAGGGACAGCTCGGTGCTGCAACTCAGAGCTCCCGGGAAGCTCCAATCTCCAGCTGATACCACAGCTCTGCTTAGCTCCTTCCCAGCCCCACCTTAATCCCTTCCTTCCTTCTCCTGAGAGCCTCACTCAGAAGACAGGTCTGCCTGAATCTTCCTCAGGCTCTGCCTCCAGCAAACCCTGCACGGGGCAGAGCTGGGGGCAGGATAAGATGGCAAACAAGAAACAAATCTAGGAGTTCTGGAAGTAAGAGGAGCTGGGACTGGAAGGCACTGGGTTTGGTGAGCAAGGCCAGGAGCCAGGCAGTGGGGCTGGGGAGACGTCATCTTAGAGAGGGGTGGGCCGGGCTCCACATCAACAGTTCCTGCGAGCCCCCTGCTCTGCTCCCTGGAGGTTGGCAGGATCATTGCAGGGTGTACCTCTTGGGAACTCAGGGTGGCTTGGGGTGGACCCTGATGATCTATTTCAGTAGCTCTGCATTGAGTTCATAGATCTCAGGGAACAGTGACTAACATTGTGAAGTTAGGGTTTCTGGGCTATTGTTCCTCAGGTAAACAGAGAAGAAGAATGAGGAAGCTGATCATGGTATGTGGGTATGTGGATGCGGCACGTGTCCTGTTGGTAGTAGCTGGATGGCAGTGGTTTGAGAAACGGTTTTGTGGGATGGACTTAGGGTTGGGGTGAGGTGGTTGGGATCAGGGCCTGGGGCTGTAACACTCCCACCCTGTGAGTAGGCGTCCAGGGCTGCATGAAGTCCCCAGGGCAGGCGGTGCCTCTGGGCTCCAAGCACAGGCCTCGGGGGGCTCCATCTGCCCACAAAGTCACCCCAAGGCCCCAGCCTGAGTTTGCCTGCCCAGTCTATGCTCACCCCAGTCCCAGGGGCCCTCTCTCTCTTGGCAGGGCAGTTTAGAAACAAAAGACTAGGTGTGGCCCCAGATGTGGGGTCCCTGCTACATCCGTGCCATGCCCTTGAGGGGATCACAATGTCCTTTTGCCAAAAACCAGCGCCCATTCAACTTCAAGTGTTCAGAAGGCCGAACTTTCTACTGCTCCTGTAAGAAAAAGGAACAGGTCCCATCCACGAAGCTCAGAACTGTGACTCCCAGGTGGGAAAGCAGCTCGATTGTATGCCAATGTGTCTACCTGAGAGGAGGGGATGGGCCTGCCCAGGAGACAGGAGAGAAGAGCTGCTCACAGAAGCCTCTCCAACCCAGTACCCTGCACCCTGCAACCGAGGCTGCAGAGGAGTAGCAGAGATGGAAACGGGGAACCCGGAGCCACGAGTGCCCAGGAATCGTTCACCCCTCACTGCATCCCTCTGAGCCAGTGACCTCCAGGCCTGCTGGGCACAAGGGGGGATCCCGGGCTGCCACCAGCCACACAGAAACTGAGTCCTCTGTGGGCAGCCAGAGCGGGGATGTGCGGTGAGCATTCAGTGCAGGCCCCATGTCAAAGGCGTAGTCCCCCAAAAAGAACAGAAAAGACCTCTTTGATCATTTTTGTATCGAATACATAATGGAGTGCTAACATTTTAGATATATTCAGTAAAATAAAATATATATTGAAAATTAATTTCACCTGTACCTTTTTACTTTTTAAAAATGTGGCTTGCAAAACATTTAAAATCATGTGTGTGGCTCTCATGACATTCCCGTGGACAGCGCTGATATGGCTGACAGACGCTTGAATGAATGAAGGCTTGAACACAGTCAGGGCCGTGGGCTGGGGCCCCCGCCTGGGGGTGGAGGAGAAGGCCCCACCTGTGCCTGGGAAGCGGTGCACCTCTCTGTGAGGCCCAGCTTCATCTGCCGATGAGGGTAATGGTTGTGCCTGTCGTCCAGGGCTGTTGTGAGGGTTAAATGAGATTGTCATCAACAAGGGTGAGAAATCATGAAATCTGCACACGAGGAGGCTCTCCCTGTTGCTCTGTAATGTGTCTGTGAAGCTGAAGGTACTGTCAGGGGATAATTCTCAAACCTTTTGTTGACCCGCAGGCTGTCAGCCAGTGGGTGAGGGGACTTCAGTTGGGAAGGGTCTGGGGTCAGGAGGCTTGGGCTTAAGTCAACTGGGCCTGGCACCCTTTCCAGCAGAAAAGTCCCTTGCACACTCACTAATAACAGCAGCCTCCACCTTCCAGGAGGGTAGGGTCCCATGCCGCTGCCTGCCCAGGGTCTTGGGTGAGCAGGGGCTGTTTGTGGGAGAAAATGGGGTTGGGTCCATGGAAGGAGAGGTGTGAGGCTTTTGATGAAGTGACAGCTGTCTGTGGGCCTTCTACACAGAGTGCACTGGGTGGAGAAAGCCCCTTGTCACCCCATGCACTCCCACCTCCCAGACCTGCTCAGCCAGAGGTGGAGAAAGGATGGCTCTGGACAGTGACAGGAGAGGAAGAGGTTTCCCTGCAGGGCGATGACCTGGCTTGTGCCTTAGAGGCAGGTGAATGTGTCCGCAAGAGGTGCGCCCAAGCAGAGGCAAATGGAGTGGAGATCCTGGGCCATCCCTGGCTCCTGGGCCTTTTCCTGATGCCTTTGAGGCTGGATTCTGGGCTCACACTTTCTCCTGCAACTCACGTTTTCGCAGGTGTCTCATGTTCCACCTGGGTTGGTCTACATGTGAGTGTTTCCAGAGGGGGTTGAAATGATGAGTGGGAAGTAGCAGAGCTACTGGGTCTGTCATCCATCTTTTGATTTCAGCAGGAAGCCCCACCTCACATGCCCATGGGGGCTGGCGGGGACCAGTGAAGCAGGCTGGTTCCAGACAGCAGTGAGCAGCGGGGGCTGGGCTGAAAGGGAGAGTATGGCCCGCAGAGGGGCAGTAGCTGCCCAGCTGAGGCCGATGCTTTCATGGGGAAATGTGGGCTCAGTTTTTCCAGGACTTTCTGTTTCTGGAGAAGTTAGAAAACTAGATTTGGGGGTAAAATCTAATTTGTAAATATTAGCAATAGTTCAATAATGATGATGATGATGACAGCATTATGTGGGCCAAATGAAACACATTATGGGGGGAATCCATTTGTGGCTTTGGACTAGGGGTTCTGACCTCTTATTTGTTGGTGTTCTACCAATCTCTTGTTTTGTTTTATTTATTTTAATTTTTAAAAGAATTTTTTAAAATGTTTGTGGGTACATTGTAGGTGTATATATTTATGGAGTACATGAGATGTTTTGATACAGGCATGCAATGCGTAACAATCATGTTACGGAGAACTGACCTCTTGAGTAGGTTGTTTTTAGGGTCTGACCTGGCCCTGGGTCCTGCACCTTATCACAGGCCCTAAGAGCTAAGTAGAAGGGGCTCTAATCTGGTCTAATCTGGTCTGGTCTGGTCTGGTCTGTTCTATTCTGGTCTAGCCTGTTCTGGTCTGGTCTAGTCTAGTCCGGCCTGCTCTGGTCTAATCTGGTTTAGTATGGTCTGGTCTGATCTAGCCTGGTCTGGTCTGGTCTGGTCTAGTCTGGTCTGATCTGGTTTAGTCCAGTCTGGTCTGGTCTGGTCTAATCTTGTCTGTTCTGCTCAGGTCTGGTCTGGTCTGGTCTGGTCTGGTCTGCTGTGGTCTGGTTTGGTCTAGTCTGGTCTGGCCTGGTCTGGTCTAGTCTAGTCTGGCCTGGTCTGGTCTGGTTTGTCCTGGTCTGGTCTGGTCTGGTCTAGTCTAGTCTGGTCTGGTCTGATCTAGTCTGCTCTGATCTAGCCTGGTTTGGTCTGGTCACTATTCACTGATTATTTCCTGGGAGAGAAACTGTGCTGGGTTAAGTAACACAGCAGAGCCAAGCATTCCATTCCCCAAATAAGTCCCCAGTCTGACAGGCGCTGGGGAGGGGATGAAACTAACTAAGATCTAGGTAGTTAAAACATATCACAACATGCCATAAGGGAGAAATGACCAATGTTCTGGACTATTCTCTTTTTCTTCCCTAGCTGTGATTAATTTTCCTTTTCCTTTGTCAGCATCTTGATTTTCCTGCCGAATCACCCACTCTTCCCTCCCAGGTTTTGTGGTGTAGGTGGGGCTGTCTCTATCCCCAGGTGTGGAGGGACCCACATCACATGGACTTAGCCAATCAGAACGTCCTCCCCCTTCTATTCCCGTGATGATGGGTTCAAGGATGGGGACAAGACTTAAGCTAGGCTGCTGAGGTGCAGTTTTGGGACATTTGTTTGAAATGTCAGGAAAGAGAAGCTCTTTTCATTGGTAGGAATGCAGGGCTCAGGAAGTCACACCTGCCGCCTCTTGGTAGAGGGCTTGCTTGGGAACACAGCCAGCCTAGAAAGAGATTGTGATGTTCCTCCTGATGTATAAACACCTGGATCAAGCCAGGCCTGGGGTTTCCGGTTTCTTGGGCCAACATATTTCCTGCTTTGCAGAAGTGAGTTTGAAGAGAGATCCTGTCCTATACTGTAGCAGATCCAGTCCTAAACAAATGCCAGGGAGGTGAAGTTGCGAGTCATTTCTTCAGTGTGAGCTCAGAAAAAACCTCACAGTAAAGGTGGCACTGGAGAGGTAGACAGCCATGTTTTGATATCCGACGGAAGGAAGCAGAGCATTCCAAGGGGAAAGGAGTGTATAGCATCAGCTCAGAGGCAGGAAAAACACGGGCATGTTTGGATGACAGACGAAGCCTCATGTGGATAAAGTATAGAGTTCTCGTAAGGTCTGCATGGAAGAGAGGTAGTGAATGAAGTTGGAGAGATGGGCTGGAGCCAGAGCAGGGGGCCAGGGAGGGGATTTGCACTGCAGGCTGAGATGTGGTTCTCGTGTGGGAGGTAATGTGATGGCTGGGAAGGGTGGATAGAGCTGTGCTTCCCTGAGGAGAGCCAAGATCCTTTTTAGGAAGGGACAGTGGAACTGGGAATGAACTATTTCAAGCGGCTCTTCCTGGTGTGCAGGGAGCTTCCAAGGCTGATATTGACACCCCTGGGTCCATATTTCTTTGATCATATCCACAGAGATGGGTGAGGGAAGAAGGTGGTGAATTACATCACTCCACCATGAGGAACCCATATGCAATTAACTCCTAATCCATCCAGAATTTATGCTTGTGTACAGTGTGAGATGAACAGGCAACTTACGTTTTTTTTTTCCTTCAAATTGTTAACCAATTGTTCCAATGTCATTTGTTCAATAATTTGTTTCTGCTGAATTCAATGTCACTTTTAGCATAGAGTAAATTCTTATATTTAACAAGTCTCTTTTTGGACTTTGTACTTCATTCCTCTCATCTTTCTATAAGCCACATTCTTAAATGTCATTTCATAACAGGTATCCCCTTATTAGTTTTTACCCAAAGCATTTTGGCTAGTCTAATTTATTTACTCTCACAAATAAACTTGAGAATCACATTGTAAAAAAAGTGATTTTTATAAAAATAGAATTCAATCTACAAATTAATTTGTGGGAGCACTGACAACTACAGAATATTTGCCCCTCTCATCCTGGAATATTTTATGACTTATTTTAGTTTTGAGATTTTTTTTCATATAGCTCATGTACATTTCTTAAAAAGATTATTCCTAGATATTTGACAGTTTGGGGAGTTTTCTGAAACACATTTTATAACTTTATTATATGTTTATTTTGTATGACTATTGGAAACCAAAAATAAAATTCTAAGCCCTCCAACTGACTGAATGGATCCCTCCTCTTGGCCAAGGGCATCCCAAAGAAACCTGAAAACCTAGTTCAGGCCATGATGGGAGGGACTGTCACATTTGCCTTGTTATGCTCTCCCCGCTTTGGAGTTTAGGCACAGCTGACCAGCATTAACATTAAAATAGAGATCATAAGACTGACAAACAGACTCTTTGTAGCAATAAGGTATCAAATTCCAACCTGACTCTGGCATCACATCACAGGACGAACAGCAGGCCCTGAGGGAAATCAAAATATTTTACCCCAAAATATATTTCTTTGACATATTTTGAAATGGTCCCACAAAACCTCTCTTGTGGGGGATATTTGCATTCTGTAGAGAATCTCACTCCCTAACTAGGTCTTTTCCAAGTGATTGATGCCTTTTCAAGTCTGGTAAGAGACATTCCCCATCTATTCTCTCTGGGGCCTGTTGCTCTGAGGCTTCATCTACATGACAAGAAACTTGCCTTCCACAAGACGCCTTATCTTAACTGAAGCATTTCTCTCTGCTAACTTCAACTCTTTAGACAAAGCTCAACTCTTTCAACCAACTGATAATCAGGAAATCTTTAAATCTACTAATGACCTGGAAGCCTCCACTTTGAGATGACCAGCCTTTCTGGACCAAACCAATATATACCTTACACACATTGATTTAGGTCTTTGCCTGTAACTTCTGTTCTCCTAAAATATATAAGACCAATCTGTAATCCAACCACCTTGGGCACATGTTCTCAGGACCTCCTGTGGCTGTGTTATGGGCCATGGTCCTCATATTTGGCTCAGAATAGGCCTCTTCAAATATTTTACAGTGTTTGGCTTTTTCCATCAACATTCTCTTATGGAAATATCATGTTACTTCCAGTACTTGTTGTTGATTTTATCAAAAATAATTTAGTTACTTCTTTTCTAATTGTCAAAATTTACTTTTCCTGTCTTATTGCTTTGACTAGAATTTCCAGAGCAATTTAAAATAGTGTTAGTAATAGCAGACATCTTTGTCTCATTTCTGAAAATGCCTCTAGAGTCTTCACATTAAGAATGACTTTTGTTTTTAAGATAGATAAGTTGTATTGTGTTAAGAAAGACCTTTTTCTATGTGTAGCTTTTCAACAGTTGTATTAAGAATGGGTATTGGATTTTATAAATGCCTTTTGCACATTTATCTAGATCAGGGATGGACAGTCCAAGGGCCCCAAGGGCCTAGTCTGGGTGGCCTATTTGTGCAACCTGTGAGCTAAAAGTGACTCTTATACATCTAAAGGGATGTTAACAAATAAAACAAAAAACCCCACAATATGCAACAAAGGTGGCATGTGGCTCACAAAGCTCAAAATATTTATTATCTGGCTCTTTACAGAACATATGTCCCAATCCTTTAGCTAGATAATTGTGTAGATTCAAAGATGTATATTCTTTGAATTATTGACATGATACTATTAACATTTAATATCGAACCATCCTTGAATTCCCGGACCATTTGAATTTTGGCCAAAATTCTATTGCCATTCCTAGGAGAACAAAAGAAGGGGCTGCACTTCAGAAGGTGAGGGTCCTGGGCATTCTGTAGCTATCAGGGGAGAACTCCTGAGCATCCATGTTCTGAGAAGGACAGAAAAATCTGGCAGAAGGGAAACATTGCATTTTGGGGGGATTTTGTGGTTGACTTATTGGTGGGTTTAGCTCTTGGGCAAGTTATATCAATGACTGTTTTCAAACCTATTGACAGTGGGGTTAGAAACATTGGTGTCACAATCTCATTGGTTTCCTGGGAGGCAGAGAGTGTCCAGTGGAGATCTGGTGCACATTTGGCAAGCTGGGATGTCTGAACCTTCCCTTTATGGAAGAGTCTATGAGTCCAACATTTAAGGCATGTGTCACAGGGTCTGAGTCAGTAAGTTGTCACAACTGTTTCTGCAATTAATCAAGAGCCAGTGTCAAAGCTTGAGACAAACATCAAGATGGCTGCAGCCAGAGTTGAATGGAAGGGGACACAATGGACCCTGGGACAGTGACCATCCTCCAACCTCCATGACTCTTAAAAGAGGCATGTCCAATACTTAATTGCTGATTGTATCGCTGTGATATAGATGATTACCCTCCACTTGCTTAAATTCAGTAAAATGTACAATGCAAACGTGTCACATGTGGTTATGACATTCCGTTTTGTTAGCTTAATGGTCAGCTAATGTTTGAACAGAGATTTCCTAAACTCCTGGAACAAGTATGTCTCCTACTCTTTGCTGATGGGCTCTGTGTGTGGGGGAGACACTTTCAACTCTTGGCTGGGCGGTTCACACCTCCACCTTAGCCTTCACTTCATGTTGTACAGATTCTTCAGGTCAGCCAGAGGTGAGAGCTTGGGCTTCTCAGGTCTTTTTTGAGCATGTGCCCAGGCCTGAATGTACACACAGCCCCATGCACCTGCACGGACTTCTAGATTCCCAAGAATGTCAGTTCACTGTCCCTATCCCTAAGGACATCTAATTTCTCAGCTTTTCCTTTTAAGCTTTTTGGTTAACTTATTATTTGTGTCAACTGTTATCTACTGCCTCAGAAAGCCTCAACATTCAACAATTGCCTTGATGGTTTTGGCAAATAATTCCAGGAGACAGGCTGTTTGCACTGGGTGAGATGAGTCAGGTCAAACAAAGACAGTTTTGTAAGTGAGGTCTTCCAGGGAAACACCAGACAGGTCAAATAATGACAATCCTCTGGGAAGGGGCTTTGAAGCAGCTCCAACCCTATCCTGCCCCTGCAGGGATGGGCGGACTGCTGGTTTTCACCATGATTGTGGCTGTTGAATTTTGAGGTATCTGGAAGCAGCCAGGGGAGGGAGGGATGGAATAGGACAAGTTAAAATGCCACGAAGCTCACTGTTCTTCATGAGAGTCAGCCTTTTTCTTGATTAAACACTCTTCAGATTGCTGCCAGCCCTTGGTTAATTTGCAGCGTTCTGAAATGTTGATTCTGACTGTTTTTTTTGCCAGGATTCTCATTGCTTTGAAGGAAGAGAGAAATTTTGGAGGTCCTCGCCCAGCCGTTCTCACTGATGTCACCTCTCTGAGCGAATCTGAACTCTTACTTTACATGTGTGGTTTGCCATCCACAGGGGCTAAGTAGTAAAAAGGGGTTCTGCGGTTGTGCATTCTTCAGCATGGCTGTTGTCCCTTCTCTCCACTTCTTTTCAGGCCAGGGAAACCTGTCCCAGCATTGGGATGGGAACCTAGCTGCATTGAGCAGGGAAAGTCAGGAAAGACCTGCTTCTCAGTTGCTCATTCTCTGTACCTGCTCCATTTAATGAGTCCTGTGTGCTGGAGATCTCCTTCCACAGGCCCAGACCCTGTTCCATTTGTGGGCTTGAAGAGTCTGTGGCTTTGGCAATTAGCTGTCTCAGTTTTCTGTCCCTGCTCTGGAGACCTGCCAGCATAAGGTCCTGCTTCTCCCTGTCATCCTCCCATCCTGCACAGCTGGGTGGCAGAATAATGACTTTATTAAGTGCATCCTGCACTGAATTCCCCAAGGATGCTGGTCCATTAGAAGAGACTACATCTGCCACCAGCAGCCATGCAGCTGGTTTGGTTTCATCTGTTCAGACCTAGGTGGGGGCCCAGGAAGGGCACACACTGTCGTTCTTGCTGCCCAGTTCGTGGGCCTGAGTCTGACTCTGGAGGGAGGCTCACGTCCTCTGTAGACAGTGAGGCATGTGGCTCCCTGCTTCCACCAAATCCTGCCTCTCCCTGCCTGCATGGTGTGGGCTCCACTCTGAGACAGGCAGGGACAAGGCCTGGGCCTGGTCAGCAATGAGAGCCTGGGGAGGGGTCTAGGATAAGGGCTCATGTCCTCAGGAGGCTTACACATGAAAGCAGTGGGGGTCTGAGCACACTCCTGGATGTGCCCTGTCAGGAAGGGCAGAGGGAGCGCTCATAGGCTCAAGGAGGGAGGCAGGTTCAGAGACGAGTGCAGGAGGCAGAGCCTAGAGGTCTTTATCTCAGCAGAGGAGGTGATTAAGGAAGCATCTTGGAATGCACACCTCCTTGGATGGTGCTGTTTACATCTCTAAGCCTGAACATGTGTTGTTTCTCTGGGCCTTAACCTTCTCTTCTCTGAAATAGGGATAGTGATTCTTTGCCTGTATGAAGCCCAAGGTCAGACAGAAATGATTCCTTTTTAAGATCAGGAATTGGACTCCCCATGCAGAGAGTAAATGCAGGTGAGATGCTGTATGGGGTCCGGCCTTGCTGCTCCATGGACCGTACCTCATCGTCCCATTCTGGTTGGAGGTCTTGTGTCAATCAGGGCTCTTCTGGCTGCCAGGGAAAGAAATCAAACTTCACTTAAGTAAAGGGCCAGCTGGATTGGCGTGTGTGGCAGAAGTCTGGAGCAGGTCTGGGCAGTGTAGTGGGCCCAGCCTTGCGCACGGCACCATCAGGAACGAGCTCTCCACACCCCGCTTTCCCCTTCCCTCTCCATCAGCTTCATTCTCAGGCAGGCTCACCGCACTTTAGTCCTGGCGGTCCCAGGAAGCTCCAGCCTCTATTCTACAGCTCACCAACCACAGTGGAAGCAGGGTCCCTTAAATCCCAGGCTGACTTGCATTGGTCTACACTGAGTCCTGTGCCCATCACTGCACCAATTGGGTGACCCTGGAAGTTCAGGTCTGGACCACTGCCCATCCTTGGAGAGGAGTGGGGACAGGGGCAAGAAGGGATCTTGGCCCTTTTTACACCACATGAAATGAAAGCAGTGGCACCCTTCCCCCCGAAAGATCAGGGTGCTGTTGACAGAATGGTGCTGGGCAGCAGAACCCCAGGTGCCCACCGCATGGCTCTTAACCAGGTCCCTCACCCAGGGTTATGCCCAGCTCAGCTTTGCATCCTTCCTGTCTCCAGTCTCACCTCTTGGCTTTGCTTAGGGGTCTGTGCTTTTCCTCCTTGCCCAGCCAGGCCTCTCTCCACCTTGAACCACTGTGCTCCAGGACAGCTGCAGGCCCCAGAGTTCCTGGACTCCACCCTCACCTCTGTCCCATCCCATCTAGACCCAAGCTGGGCCCTTAGCTGAGTCAGTCTGTTGTTTTTTGCTCAGGTCTTGGCTAATCCATTGATCTATTCACCCATCTACTACTTTGTTTACCTACTCATTTATTTAACAACTCTTTGTGAGTAACATGCATAAGTCACTATCCTAGGTAATGGAGTTTAGACAATGGATCTCCAATGGCCCTAAGTCAAGGGGACTCCTTTCTCCTTGCCGTTACCCAAATTAACAATTCCTTTAAAAATTGTTTTATTGGAGTATAATTGCCATGCAATAAGCTTTACATACTTAACATGTACAAACCAATAAGTTGTGACACTTTATATTTCTGAGAAGCCATCATTGTCATCAAGACAGCAAATGCACCCCAAGGCCTCTGTAGGCCCCTTTGTCATTTTAATCATCTTTCTCTCCTGCCCTTCCCGGCATCCACAGGCAACCATCGATCTGCTTTTGGTCACTGTAGATTAGTTTGAACTTTCTAAAATTCTTAGTAAATGGAAACACACAGTATGTGCTCTCTTTTTGTCTGACTCTTTCACTTTGCATGGTTATTTTGAGATCCACCCTGTTGTTGTGTGTATCAGTAGTCAATGCCTTTTGATTGTTGAGTGGTGTTTCATTGCATGGATGGTCCAGTTTTTTACCCATTTGCCTGTCGGTGGAGTTTGGGCTTGCTAAGAATACGTGTATACAAATCAGGATTGTGAAGGGACAGGGTGGAAACCTGATAGCTCCAGGATTTGTGATTGCAGTGTTCTGAATCCCAGTGCACCCAGAAGGCCAAGGGCTGGCATTTGGAAAGTGTAAGGACATGCTTGTCCACAGACTAGGAAGTCACACATTGTGTTCTGCAGGAACTGGATTCTACGTTAAGAGGTTTGGAAAGTGTTCCGCCTTCTTGGAGATTCACCTTCTATATGAGCTTATTAAAGTCTCTGAGTAAAGTCCTGCAGTAAGAAGAATCCAATGTCCTATAGTTAGACACTAATTAGACCATATAAACTCTTTCCCCCTTTTGTCCTAGTGTTAACTATAAATCTCTTATGGAAGGCGGTTTAATGGACATTGCTGTGGACCATGGGGCTGTGGGCATGCTAGGGAGAGGTGTCTGCTCCCAGAAACATTCCAGAGTCCCAACATTCATCTAGGAAGTCTCACAGGCATTCACAAGTAACTCACAATGTATGAAATTATAAAATATTTCAAGCACACAGAAAAGTGTTGAGAATAAAACAACAGACACTCATGTAAACAACACACTGCTTTGTCAGCATTCTGCCTCTCTGTGTGTTTCAGAGTTATTTTTGTGTGTGTGTGTGTGTGTGTGTGTGTCATTTAAAGAAAACATCACTAATATAGCCAAAGATCCCGAGCATCTCTTCTCCATTTGACTACCCCTCCCTCCTTCTTCCCAAAAACCACCATCTTCAATTTGGCATTTGTCATTTCTATGCATATCTTCATTCTTTTACTACATATGTTTTTGTATCTCTAAATAACATATAGTATTGTCTTTCAAGGTGATATGGTTAGGCTTTTTGTCCCCACCCAAACAAATCTCATCTTGAATTATAATACCCATAATACCCACAATCCCCGCATGTCAAGGGAGAGAACAGGTGGAGGTAATTGAATCATGGGGGCGGTTTCCCCCATGCTGTTCTCGTGATAGTGAGTTCTCACAAGATCTGATGGTTTTACAAGGAGCTCTTCCTGCTTCCATCAGCACTTCTCCTTCCTGCTGCCTTGTGAAGAAGGTGTCTTGCTTCCTCTTCACCTTTCACCACAATTGTAAGTTTCCTGAGGTCTCCCCGGATATGCTGAACTGTGAGTCAATTAAACCTCTTTCCTTTATAAATTACCAGTCTCAGGCATTTCTTTATAGTAGTTTGAAAATGGACTAATATACATGGCTTAAAATTTCATAAATGATAATATATCATGTGTAGAATTCTCCACTTGCTTTTCTTAGCTGAAGCTGGTTTTAAGATTTAACTGGAGTTCATTCATTTTAAGTGCAGCATAGTATTCCATTGAATAAACAGGCCACAGTGTGGCCTTCATTGTCTTGCTGGTAGATGTCTGGGATGCTTCTCATTTTTCTCTACTGTAAACAATGCTGCAATGACAATTTTTGTGCATGTCTCCTTGTCACATGTGTGAGTCAAGCATGGAATTGCTCGGTCATGGGGTAGGGGTATCAGTAACTCTACTTAGACATTGCCAAAAGGATGGCAGTAATTTTAACTCTTATCTACAGTATAAGAGAGTTCTAATTTCTCTACATTATCACAAACACTTGTTATTTCCAGACTTTTAAATGGCAGAAAAATGCCTGGTCTACAATGGGCACTCAATAAATACGCACTGAAGGAAGTAAAGTGTTTTAATCCACATCTCCCTGGTTACTACCAATGCCCGGCACCTTGCATATGCTAGCTGGCTCCCACGCTCCCCTTCTGCAGGCTGCTCATCTATGTCTTTTATCCACTCCTTTGTTGGCTTGCTTGGCATTTCTTCTCTGATTTGTAGCAGTTCTTTACATATTCTGAATAATAATCTTCCATCAGTTATGTGCAAAGCAAATATCTTTCCCAGTTTGCAGCTTGTTTTTTCATTTTGATAATTATGTCTTTTGTCTTACAGATGTTTTAAATTTTAATGTACTTGAAGTTCTCAATCTTTTCCTTTATAGTTTGTGATTTTTGTGTCTTCTTCAATAAGTCTTTCCCCACTTGAAGTCATAAAGATATTATTCTATTTTTTTCTATAAGCCATCTAGTTTTTCTTTACTATCTAATTCTATCATATACCAGGGTTTTTGATATTGTAAGGTTTGAATTAAAAGTTTTATTTTATTTTTTTCTGCAGTGAGAACTATTTTAGTTTTCTACCACATGTTCCTGCTGCTCTGAAGTGCTAGTTCTTTCCTTTTGTGTCTGAGCCAGTGTCAGGGCTTCTGTTCTGCCCTTTGGTTTATTTTCTTACTGTGCCAACAGCTCACTATTTCAGTCACTAAAGCTTTGTAGTCCATCTTAATAACTATTTTGGTGGGTCCCCCTTCATTTTCGTTCAGGAGTTTCATAGCTTTTCTTAGTCTTTTATTCATCCACCTAAATTTTAGGATTCATTTGTCATGTTCCTTAAAACTGGGATTTAGTTGAGATTAAATTAAATTTATAGATCAATTTGAGACAATTGCCATCTTTATGATATTGAGTCTTCTCACCCATGAACATGGCATATCTGTCTAATTTACTCTGGTCTTCTTTTATGATTTTCCATAAAGTCTTATTATTTCTGCACAAAGATTATATATATCTTTTGTTAGATTTCTTCCTAATTCTATTAATTTATTGCTATTTATTATTGGTATCTTTTTAAAATTAAAAACCATCTGTTGCTTCAGTACAGGGATATAATTCATTTTTGTATTTTGATCCTGCGTCCATCCACTTTGCTCAACTCTTGAGTTAGTTGCACTGGGTTGTTTCTGGACTGTCTGGGACTTTCAGTTTAGAATCTTATAATTGGTGAATAATGAAATTTTTTTTTTCTTCTTTTCTAGTCTTCATACATTAAGTTTCTTTCTCTTGTCTTACTGCTAAGACTTTTAGTACAGCTTGAAAAGCTGTGGTAGTAGGGGGTGTCTTTGTCATGCTCCTGACTTTTCCTGGAATGCCTCTACTATTTCATCGTTAATCATGACTTTGTAGTGGGTTTTTTTTTACACTTTGTATTATGCTAATGAGTTCTTTTTATTCTTATTTTGTTAAGAGTCTTGGTCATGAATGGACATTAAATCATATTAAGTGACTACATCTATGCAGATGGTCTTACATTTTTTCTTTCAATTTCCTTCGATTTATTCTGTTGAGAATAAATAAGTCAGGAGTTGTTTCTAATGCAAACACCCTTGCATTACTGGAAGAGAGTTATTTTGGTCACATATGTAGAGATAAATATCTGGAGTTAGTTTAGTCTTTATGGAGAGTTTTTCTGAAGTGGAAGTAAATGAACATCCATCAGATGAGAAGAAGCAAAGGCTATCCATTTGGAGCTCACCATGGCAAGGGAGCCATCTCCATCACTTATGTTTTGACAGAGACTCAAAGGCAGACAGTGGGAAGTGTGAAGTGGGAAGCTTTACGGCGGAAAAGGGGGAAGGCCCAGTGTGCCCTGGTGGGAGGCTGTTGGCACAGAGAAGCTGTGGAAGGGCTGACTAGAAACAGAGCATCCTATGTAGTTCGCTGGGAGGGCATATTTGGCTTTTTCTGGTTGGTCCTAAGCTGGAAACAGGGATACAAATTTGGGAAGCTGTCAGTGATTAATCAAGTCCTGGCCATTTTGGGGAGATTATTACAGGCCTTATTCTTTGGTTCCCTGGGCTGCTTGCTGGAGAATGTGGTCTGACTTCCTAGAGTCTGACTTGCAGAGCAGCCTGGCTTCCTGGCTGGTTGCTGCAGATTGTGGGTTGGAGCCTCTATTTTTATATATTGTCTAGCCATTGTTTGCCTGTAGATTCAGTCTCTCACCTGAGAGGTGGTGTTAGTTTCATCCTCATGTTGTCCAAGGCCAAGGCTTCTGCTCTTGTTCCTGCAGGGACGTCAGGATCGGAGCTCCTCACATGCCCAAGCCCCCACCAACACCACTCAGAGGCTGTTCCTTCTGCTCCTTTGTTTGTTGTTCCAGTGTTCAGTTTTCTTCTGGTTTCTAGATCTTGGCATTTCCCTACCTCCATTTTTTTTCTTTTATCAGTTTCCTGCCTTTAAAGGAATATTTGTTATATTTTATCTACTATTTCTATATGTTTGCAGCAGGGGAATTTTCAGGTTATTTAGTCTGCCAAGTTACCAGTACCAGAAGTCTCCAGCATCTTTTAAAGTGCGAAGTGTTTCATTCATTTTTCGCTCGAAAACATTCATTAACTGTGTCTTGCAGAGGGCTCGAGCTGGCAGCCCTGAGCGAGATCTGGCCCTCAGTCATGTTCTTGATCAAAATGAAACTAAAAACATTTTGCTAAAATTATGATGTAAATGCTTTATGTAGAGAATGTCCTCTTTATTTCCCAGATATTTAGAACTTGCAGTAGATTGCTTGGTAAAAGAGCCCAAGTTCCTCTCCTCGCACCTGTGCCCTGTGGTGCAGCGCCTCCCGTGCAATGCTGGCCCACCCCCTGGCTCTGGGCTGTCCTGGGGCTTGCTTCAGCCAGCAGACAGTGCTGGCTCCAGCCTAGGCCACAAGAGGCCCTGTCCATCTCCATACTTGCTTTTGAGACTGTCCAGCTTCTGTGGGAGCCAGCCCGGGCTAGCCTGCTGGAGGACGAGAGACACATGGAGCGAGACTATGTCGCTTCACTCTCAGTCACCAACGCTGCAGCCCACAGGAGAATAAGCAAGTCCAGCTTAGGCCAAAGGAGCCCCACCCAGATGCAAGGAGGGTGATTCTACCAGGTTCTGTGGGACCTGGGCCCTGGCCTCAGAGGGGATGGGCCTCTGACTCAGACATGGCATAATCTACTGCTTCAAGGATGGGCTCCAGCAGGGTTGTGTGGCTTTAGCTGGGTCAATCAGAGTCCCTTCTGAAACCCTCCACGTGGAGGCAAGCTCCCTTTTGTCAGAAGGACCCCCAAGGCTGCCAGCAGGCTTGCCTCCCACCTTGTGTGAGCTGAAGAGGTAAGAAAGGGTGTCCAGGAGAGCACCCTGGGCTTCTCAGATTCTGGTTCCAACAGACTCCAGGTGGGCTCATCCGTGTTCTCCTGGTCACGTGAGCCCATATGTCTTCTTCCCTCCATAAACCAGCTTAGGGTGGGCTTCTGCATGTATGTATTTCCTACTGTGTACCTGGTTCTACGTTGGGCTAGAAATTACAGATGGGCCATTGCTCTCAAAGCACTTACATTATGTCAGAGGTTGAGGAAGCAATCCACAAGTAAACAAATGCATCATCAAATGACCTTCAGATAATGGATGTGATTTCCTGGGAGGGAGTCCTAACTGAAGGCAGTGCTTTGGGAAGCTACTCTGCTGTTGTGACTGGCTAGACAGGGGAGTGATGACTGTAAGAATTCTGCAACTGACTGTGTCTGACTGCAATGGGAAGCTTACAGAAACAAAATGACACACTCAGGGCTTTTAAATCTCATCTTATGATATGGTCAAAGAATTAGCAAGCTTCTGTGATGTCCCTGAAACAATCTCCCTCCTTTGTAGCTACAGGGCTGATATAGCTGAAAATAAGACTCCAAATTTGATGATGGGGTTGCAGAGTTACAGCATAAATTGAATTCCCAGCCACGACAGGTCTGTTGTGGAGATGCCAGGGCACTGATGGGAAAGGAGGGGAAATCTGAGAGTTGGAACAAGGGCATGAATCTGAAAAACAGCTTTTCTTCCTGTCTGGAGAGATGAGTCTTCCCTTTCTTGAAAACCTCGTAATGAGCTCACATGGGTCAGTTTTGCAAGAAGATGCCAATTCTTCTCAAAATTTACCCCTATGCCCCCCTTGCCTTCAGAGCCCAGTATGCCCAGGAAGCAAGTCTGAAATTTGGCCCAGGAGAAGACAATTTAGGGCTTCATTGGGTTTTCCTATGACTAGTTGCTGGAGGAAGTTGCCCCTGCTTTACAAGTACTTCTGCACATTATGGCAGCACCACCAGAACTGGAGGGCCACAGCACACCCTAGAAACTATGTCCCATTGATTGGATAGAGATATGGTCAGGGGTATGAATCTCTACTTATTCATGGCAGTGGCTAATGCTTTGGGACTTGGAAAGAACAAGATTTTAGGACTGGTGGCTAAGAGCTCTGGGGAGGAGATATGTGGGCGGAAATCTCAAAATAGGCACAGAGACTGTGGGAATATTTATGTTTCCCAAGTGATTGCTCTCCAAAAGGAGAAGGGGTTCCTAGTCGTCAGGAACATGACATGTTCTGTGAATGTCAGCCAACCTCTTTCTGCAGACTCTAGCTCTTTCTCATGGAGGCAGTATATAAGGAAGCTATACATGGGCCAAGAAACATGGACTTTCCTCACTGATGCATATCTGGCTATTGCTCCTAGTAAATGCTCAACCTATCAACAAAAAAGACTAGCATTAAGTCATGGATGTGGCACCATGCTGTGTGGGGACTAGCTAGCCACCTGCTGGCAGATTAACTATGTAGGACTCTACCTATCATCCTCAATGAAATAGATACTTCTTCTGGAGATGGATTTGCCATCTCTGCTTTCAAGACTTCTGCCAACCACATTACCTGCAGACTTATAAAAATGCTTTATTCACCATTGTGGTATCCTGAACAACATTTCTTCTGACCAAGGGACTTATTTTATGTAAAATATGTGCAGCAATGGACTCACAGCTCTAGATTTTACTCGTTTGCTACCTATATTGTTACCCAGAATCAGCTGAGATTACGGATCAAGGGTCAGCCAACTTTCTCCAAAGGGCCAGATAGTAAATTTTAGTATTTTAGGCCTTATGGGACATACGGTCTCTGTCACAACTGCACAATTCTGCTGTCATAGTGTGAAAGTGGCCAGTGACGATGTAGAAGAGAATGGGCCTGGCTGTATGTCAATAAAGCTTTATTTACAAAAATAGGCAACAGGCCAGATTTGGCCATGGGCCAAAGTTTGCCAGTGCCTAATGTGAACTATTGGAATTGTGCACTGAAGACTCAACTGTGGGGCCAGCAAGAAGAATGCACCCTGCAAAGGCAGGGTGTTGTCCCATAGATTCTGGTCTGCACTTTGAAACTGTGCCCAATCAATTGTGCTGCTTTTCCCACAGGCAGAATCATGGGTCCAGGAATGAAGGGTAGATATGGGAGCAGCTCCTCCAGGCCCAGGCATGTGTTGGTGAAACTGTTGCTTTTCATCTCCACAGTTTTAGGCACTGCTGGTTTAGACACTATTTCCCAAGGGAGAAATGCTTCCAGCAGGGGCCACAGCAGTGGTTCCAATGGACTGGAAGTCAAGGCCACCCCCAGGGTGATGAGTTCTTTATGCCTCTGAGTCAACAGGTAAAGAAGAGGACTTTTCTATTGGCTGAGATGATTGGTCCTGCTCATCAAGGGGAAGTAGGTGTACTGCTGGTAAGGATGGGGAAGCTTATGTTGGAACCGAGGGCACTCTCTGGAGGACTTCTTATTAGTTCTATGTCTAGTAATAAAAGTTAGTGGAAGACTACTGCAACCCAATAACGTCAGGACCACGGAGAGTGCAGGTCCTTCAGGAAGGAATGGGAGTCACCCCATCAATAAAGAACCACAACAGAAGGGCTGGCTGAAATGAAAGAGAGCTTGAAACAGACAGCAGGAGGAGGAGGTGATGAAAGGTCACTCTGGCCACACAGTCAGGTACAGCATCAAGGATGGTCATGCCACTTTCCTTCGCTTGCTATGTCTTTATTCATATATATTTACAAGTTATTTCTTTGTCCCCTGCTCTTTTATATAAGGCATGTTTGTGATGTCTAACTTAAAATTAGCCTTGTGCCAAAGAATATTCGGGTTAGATGGTGACTGAACTGGAAGGCTGCCTAAAGATGATCTGACCCCCTTTTCCATCCAGGGGCAGGAATGTCTTGGTTTGTGCAAGGGATTATTGTAAGCATGCTCCTGTCTTTGCTGCTTTTGTATGGAAGCGTGAAGAAGTGTAAAAGGTGAGAATGGCATGGTGCTGAGGATGGGGACTGTGATAGTGACTCAACTGTAGACGTCAGCCCTGCTCTAGCCCTTCATGTGGCTGGGAGGCTGGATGCCTGCAAACTCTGGGGCTTCTTATAAGCTGGCTCCTTGTTAGATTCAGCAAATGGAAAGCCCTAGAAGGAGAATGGAATGGAGATGGGAAGCAGCAGATGTAGCATGGGGCCACAGACACAGCTCCTGGGCTCCAGCCCAGCCCTCCTGGTTATATGGGCCATTGGAACTGTCCGTGGAATTGGAAGGGCACATCAGCAGTGGGTTCGGCAGTGGCCTCAGCAGCACAGTGCTCATGGGCCTGGATTCTTGTGTCCAGGGCAGTGTGGACCCTGCCTCCTGCACAGAGGTGGTAGGAGGGATGAACACACAGCAACAGCAGCAGCAAGTCCTGCAGCAGCCACAGCAACCCAGCCATCATGGGCCCCAGGTAGCCCCACTTTCTCTTTCCCTCCAACCCTGGATGGTAGACTCTTCCTGCCATTATAAGTATTTGGGTAAACTTACCTTCTTTCCTTCTTTGTAGCCCAACCCTTCCAGTGCTTTTCTAATGAATTTGCTATATAAATCCCTGTTCCTGGCTGGGCACAGTGGCTGACACCTGTATTCCCAGCACTTTGGGAGGCTGAGGCAGGAAAGACTGCTTGAGCTCAGGAGTTTACGACCAGCCTGGGCAACATGGTGAGACCCTATCTGTACAAAAACTACACAAAGTTAGCCAAGCACGGTGACACACACCTGTAGCTCCAGCTACTTGGGAGGCTGAGGTGGGAGGATCTCTTAAGCCTGGGAGGTTGAGGCTGCAGTAAGCTATGATCGCACCACCACACTCTAGCCTGGATGACAGAGCAAGACTCTGTTTCAAAAACAACAACAAAAAAACCCCAACCACAACAATAAAAAATCCCTGTTCCCAGTTTTACCTACGGCATCTTAATTTCCTGACTGGATACAGACTGCTACTGAGTATGACAGGGTCAGGGGTCCTTTAGCAGGATGGTCAGGGAAGGTTCCCCAAAGAGGTGACATTGGAACTGACATATAACCGACAAGAAGACAACCATGCTGAGGTCTGGCTTCAGGGGACATGTTTGTACATATATCCCCTATGCATGGGCAAACAGAAAGATTCCTAGAAATGGAATTGCTGGGTCAAAGGGAATATAGATTTCATATTTTGGTAGCTACTGTCAAAATACCATTTAGAATGGCATAGCAATTAACAGTCCCACAAACAAAGCATGCACTCTTCCATATTAATCACTTTTTCATCTATTTCAAGATGTCTACTATATGCCAAAAGCTGTGCTTGTGTTGTGTGTGGAGGGAGGTGGGGTGGGGTAATGGTAAAGAGGAAAGGATGAGAAGAATACAGACATGGAAGATAAATCTTTTACCTTTGAGGAACTCATCCCCTGTGGGGGACAGGCCTGTGACAGCTGCAGCTGCTGCCACGACTTCCTTCCATTCTTCTTCCTAATCAGTAGCCAGCTTGCAAGAGCCCAGGACATAGTCTGCAGGCTTCTAGCCTCCCAGCCACGTGGAAGAGAGCACGGAGGGCCAGAGCAGGGTTGATGGTGCATGCACCTCCCAGCACAGTCTACCTCTTGGACTCCGCAGCATCCATTCCACCCTCTTAGCCCCACTGTAGTCCACCCCCTTATCCATGGGGGATGCTTTCCAAGACCCAGTGGATGCCTGAAACCACAAATGGTACCAAACCCTATGTACACTACGTTTTTTCCTAACATATATTCTTATGGTAAATTTTAATTTATAAATTAGACACAGTAAGAGATTAACAACAATGACTAATAATAAAATTGAACAATTATAACAATATACTCTAATAAAAGTAGTGTGAATGTGGTTTCTCTCTCTCTCTGAAAATATATATCAATATTTTTGGATGGCAGTTGACCACAGGTAACTGAAATCATGAAAAGCAAAAACTGCAGATAAGAAGGGACTATGGTATTTACATTTCCACATAAAAATAAAAATGCCAACACCATGTTTCCACTTCATGTGCTGCAACCGCTCCTGTACAGGTGAAGGCACTCTCCCCTCTTCCCTTCTCCCACAAAGAGGGAGTGAAGTGAAGAATCAGGCATCAGGCAGACTTCCTGGATGGAAGGGCATTTGAGCTGGGCTTGAGGGATGAGCAGGTCTCCTACAAGCATAAGAAGGAAAGAATATTTGGAATAGAGGGAAGGAAGCCCTGCAGAGCGTAGTTTGAAACCCGCTGGTCCCAAGCAGAGGCAGATGTAGCTGAGGAGTCTGTCAGGCTGGAGAAAACTGGCCCTCACCCTCACTCCTGCGTTTGCACTTCGTGTTAGAAGGCTTTCGTGTTATTTTATTTGACCCTTACAAGTTTTCTGGGGTCTCCCATCACCTTTGCTCTCATGGTTGGACTGCTGTTATGTGCTAGGCTGCAAGTAAAAGGACTCCAGCCCCTGTGGCTTAAACAATACAAGAACTTATGATTTTACATGAGAAGTCAAAGGGCAGAGCTGTTTTAGGCCAGTTACTTCAGCCGCCACGTCATTGAGGACTCAGATCTTCCCCTTTCTCTTCTCTGGAAGAGCTCCTCGCAGGCTCTTTGTGGATGAAGGTAAAGCTTGGACATCCTTTTTAGGAGCCTTCAGCTTCTGAGCTTTTCTGAATGTGAGTCTGCAGAGCAGGGCAGATGTTTGTTCTTTAAGAAGCAGAAGAGGAAATGATGGTTCTAGGTAGGTCTCAGCCTCAGCAGTACTGATATTTGGGGCGAGATGATGTTTGTTGTGGGGCTGTCCAGTGCATTGTAGGTTGTTTAGCAGCATCCTTGGCCTGTATTCACTAAATATCAGTAGTGGCTTCACCCCCAATGTGACAACCAGAAATGCCCAGACATGGCCAGTTCCCCAGGGGGACAATATCCCCCTGAATGAGAAGCACAGGGATGTGTTACTTCCCCAGGACAAAAACCTTAGAAGTGGAACTATGAGATGCAAGGGTGTGAACATTTTCTTAAATATATGTATATAATTTTGGCCGGGCATGGTGGCTCACACCTGCAATTCCAGCACTTTGGGAGGCTGAGGCGGGAGGATCACCTGAGGTTAGGAGTTCGAGACCTGCCTGGCCAACATGGTGAAACCCCATCTCTACTAAAAATACAAAAATTATCTTGGCGTGGTGGCACACGCATGTAATCCCAGCTACTCAGGAGGCTGAGGAAGGAGAATTGCTTGAACCCAGGAGGCAGAGGTTGCAGTGAGATTAGATCACATCACTGCACTCCAGCCTGGGTGATGGAGTGAGACTCTGTCTCAAAAATAATAATAATAATAATTTCTAATGATAAAATTAACGCATTATAGCTGCAGAAAACCTGGACAATGCAGAAATGCACGAAGAAAAAAAAACAAAAATCACTCCATTGCACCATCCAGAGATAACTGTTCCTAATATTTCATTTTATAATCTTCTGTCATTTTTCTATACATATAAATAGATGTATTTTTCATTTTCAAACAAAAAAGAGATGATAATGCACACGCTATTTTGTAAGGTACTATTTTCATTTAACGGTGAACGACGACCATCTTTTCATATCAGTGAATATAATTCTGCCACACAGATTTTACTGGCTGTTGGTTTGTGACTGTAGGATTGTATTATAATTTACTCAATCCCCTATTCACTCTTTAAAGCACTTATTTTTATTTCACAATTAATGTATGTTTATTGTAGAACAATTTCTAAATGAAAATAACCACAAGGTAAGAAATAAAAATCACCCAGGATCTCACCAGCCATGGGCAATCAGTGCTAATATTTTACTGTTCCTCCTTTCTTACTTTTCTTATAAAAATTGATTTTTTTGGCATCTATTATTTTATCACTTGCTCTTTTCACTTAACAATGCAATGCTGATACATGTACTTGTATAACACCATTATTGATGGCTGCATAGAATTCCATTGTATAAAAATACATGATTTATACAACAAGTGATTGCTTATCTGCTGACATTTAGGGTTTTTTTTTTTTTTTTTTTGCCATTACAAAAAATACTGCAGTAAACAGCCCTGTAGCTAATTCTTTTCTTAGGACAAATTTCTACAAGAACAGGTGGGTGAAAAGGTATGCAAAATGAATATGGAAAATGAAATTGCCCTCTAAAAAGTGAATACCACTTTCTGTTTCCAGCAAGAAAGTACAAATGCCCATGTTCCCACACTCTTGCTAACACTGAATATAATAATAGTAATAATGAAGTGCCAATTTTATAGGTGAAAAATGGTAGCTTGTTGTTTTAATTTGCATGTACATGAATACTAATGAGGCCGAACAGTTTTTCAAATGCCTTTTGGTATTTGTATTTCTTCTATTGAAAATTGTCTGTTCGTAGTCTTTGCTCATTTTTCGATTTGTATGTTAACATTTCCTTGATTATTTATATGCCAAGGATATTAACCCTTTACCTGGGTACATAGATCGCAATTATTTTCTCAAATTCATTATCTGTTTTTCACTTTGTTTTTATTTTTCATTTCATTTATTCCATCTGTTTAAACCAGTAGAAGTTTAAGATGTTTATGTAGTCAAATTTGTTATTCCTTGGTGGTTTTTTTCTTTTTTCTTTTGGAAGGCATTCCCCATATCAAGATTTATGTATACTCATTTATAAGTGAGGGAGGGAGGGGTGCAGCCACTCCAGATAAGGGTGCCCAGAGCAGGGCAGGGCGGGCTTATTTTTAAGTTAATTTTTCTTTTTTCTGTTCATTTTGATTCAATGGCATTGGAACAAAACCATCTTTACTCACCACCCGGAGCAGTGCCCTGGTCACCAACGAGTGTCGCACGCAGGCCTGGCTCCACCTTCCCTGGGTGCTCCAGTTTGGCGCCACCAGCGCTCTTTCGTATATGATAGCTTCCTAACATGTTTTCATATCTGCTGGGGCAAACATCTCCTCGGTTGACTTCTTTTCACTATTTCCCTGTCCATTCATGAATGAAACCTTCCTCGTAAATTTTGCAATATTTTTTTGAAAGTTGAAAAGATAAAATGCTCATTTGTATTTGGAATTAAATCATATTGTCTTCAGAGGTCAGTTTGGGCTGAATTCATATAAGTGCCATATTAAGTCTTGCACACAAGGATAAGATACATGTCTCTCTATTCATGCAAGTCTTCTTTGTACCTTTCTGAAAGATCTGTACTGGAAAATTTTATAGTTAAAAACAAAACCGTTCCCTGCTAATTTTTAGTTGAATTGCATTGGGGTCAGAGAATGCGGTCTTCACAATTCTCTCTGCCTTTGCTTTTTGTTGGTAGATTTTGTGTAGATATTTTGATGGTTGATTATTTGACCAGTGTATTCCAGGGATGTTGCAAAGGAAGACATGTTTTTGTTCATACAATTCAAGGTTTTATTGTATATATTCATACTTGCCCTTCTCACTTTCTCTCTCTCTCTCCATGCATACATACACACCCAAACACAATAATATATTGTGTTTAATATATTGTGTTATTAATAATATATTTAGAATAGTTATTGCCTGCTTTTTTTGCCTATTTGGTCTATTAAGATTGTGAGAAATAAATTATAATCTTCAATTAGAAGGGTATGTTCACCAAACTCACTCAAATTTCTGAAGGTTTTTACTTTCTGTATTTAAATGCAATGTAACTTGGTACATAAAATGTCATGACAGTTTGGTTCTCCTTATCCCATGCCATGCTTTTTGTCTTATATGCTACTGAATCTGAAATTAATATTTGGCCCATGCTGTCCTTCTGATTTTATGTTCTGGTATGCTTTTTTTTTTTTTTTTTTTTTTTTTTTTTTTGAGACGGAGTCTTGCTTTGTCACCCAGGCTGGAGTGCAGTGGCGTGATCCCAGCTCACTGCAATCTCTGCCTCCCCAGTTTAAGCGATTCTCCTCCTGCTTCAGCCTCCTGAGTAGCTGGGATTACAGGTGCCCGCCACCCTGCCTGGCTATTTTTGTATTTTTAGTAGAGACAGGGTTTCACCATGTTGACCAGGCTGGTCTCGAACTCCTGACCTCAAGTGATCCACCCGTCTTGGCCTCCCAAAGTGCTAAGATTACAGGTGTGAGCCACTACACCCAGCCATATTCTGGTATACTTTGATTTTTTAGAACTTTGCTTTAGAACGTCTCTTATGAATAGTGTTCAGTTTGATTTTGTTTTACTCAATATGAAAAGATGAACTTTAATAGGGCTTGCTTTAGACTTACTGTTAAACAAAATGTTAAATACCTATTGTAGTTAATAATTTCAAGCTTCCTTCTCTCATCTTTTCTGGTTTTCTGCTTTTTGCCCCCTTCAGATTCTGTTGCCGTTTCACCAGATTTTTATGTACTTCAAGGTTTTAGAAAGGTCGTGTATTCTGTTCTTAGCTTTAACTAATTTCAGCTTTTTGTATACATTCTAACCCTTATGTTTTTGGCTGCCAGATTCAAGAGTAAAACACGGCATATATTGAAGTCCTCCTGTTTAAGACTACTATTAGGATATTTTGGTTGCAAGAGACTGACATTCCCAATGAAATGGCCTTAATTCCAAGTGGAATGCTTCAGCTCCCATAAGTGCCGAACCTAGGGGTACATCAGCTTCTGACAAGGCCACTCTGGGGTTCACCTTTAGTGACGTGCATTTATGATCGTATAATTATCTGCTTGGCTGTCTGCCCCCATTGGTGGTGGGCTTGCTCAGTGAGCCTGTCAGGAGTGCTTCCGGCTGACCAGCAGTGCACTCAGGTGTAGGCATATTTGATGGTCATGTAACAGCTGTAAATCAGAAGCCAGGCAGTTGCATGGGTCTGAGTGAAGGGACTGTTTACAGAGGCCTGGACAGGGTCCCAAGGACTCACAGGGGACATGGAGGCACCCAGAAGTTAGCAATGCTACGAGCTGTTCCCACTCCAGGCCTGAAGGTCTAGGGAAGGAAACAGTGTTGCCAGAGCTCAGGGGAGGAGTCCCAGACAGAAGGTGCCGCTGGGAGAGAAGGGTGCAGCCTCTCCTGATAAGGGTGCCCAGAGCAGGGAGGGATGGGAGCCAACACCCCAGCCTCTTTCACTTCCCTGCAATCTCTCTCCAGCACCCACACTGGCCAGTGTCGCTGAGAGGCAGCCAAGCTGGCTGGAGTCTGCAGGGGTCGGCCTTCTGAGCCCTGGGTGTCTGGGTGGGGGTATGGAGAGTAACCAGCCGGGGTGGCTTCAGAGAGCTGACAAAACCAGCGTGCATGTGCCAGGTGTGGTGCTTTATGCCAGCACTGTGGGAGGCTGAGGTGGCCAGATCACTTGTGGTCAGGAGTTCGAGACCAGCCTGGCCAACATGGGGAGACCCCGTCTCTACTAACAATACAAAAATTAGCCAGGTATGATGGCGCACGATTGTAATACCATCTACTTGGGAGGCTGAGGTGGGAGGATCCCTTGAACCCAGGGTGCAGAGGTTGCATTGAGCCAAGATTGTGCTACTGCGCTCCAGCTTGGGTGACAGAGCGAGACTCTATCCCCCCAGCACCCCTCTAAAAAAACCAGGGTCCATGTGAGTGTCTCTGCCTTCTCCTGCCTTCTCTCCATGGTGGGGGGAATGCCGGCCGCAGCTCCAAGCCTCCCACGATCCTGTGACACGCTCCCCCCCAGGGAGACATAGGGTGGACACAAAGGCCTGCCTGTGTTATTGTGTGTTGCACTAGGGGAGAAGCTTTCCCAGAGACCCCCAGCCAACTTCCCTAGGCAGCGTTGGCCACAGCTGGGTCACAAGCCCACCACACTTTCCCAGCTACAGGTCAACACGATTGAGTGCCCTGATCACCTTAGACCATCATGATCCACACCAGGGCTCTTAAGCCACCCTCTCTGGCCCAGGCCCACCGAAGGGTACTGCAGGGTTAGCAATTCTCAGGCCCCATCCTGCTTACTTGCCTGCAGGAGTTGACATGATCTCTCTTCTCTGTTGTTTTTCTTAAATTGGCTTTATTGAGGTAGAGTTTACTTACAGTAAAATGCACTCATTGGAAGCGTACAATTTAATGAGTTTTTACAAAAGCACTCATACTTGTAACAACTGCCACATCGAGCTACAGAACACTGGCAACAGCCCAAAAAGTCCCCTGGAGCCCACCTGCAGTCAGTTCCCACCCTGAAACCATAGCCCTGGGGAGCCAAAGATCTGCTTTCTGTCACTAGGATTATTTTGCATTTTCTAGAATTGCATATAAATGGAATCCTATGGTCTGTGTTCTTTTGTGTAGAGCTTCTTTTGTCAGCACGATGGTGTGAGAGTCACCGGTGTTGTGGCTTGTATCAGCAGCTGATCCCTTCTTACTGAGGGTGGCTTTTCACTGCACGAACCTGTCACTGCTGTTTATCCACTTCTTCCATTTTGAAGCAGTTTCTTGGCTTCTAGAGAAACCCTCCTTTTCTCGTTTATCTCCTCTCCCTGACCTCTTAACCTGGGGGTTCCCAGGGTTCAGGCAGGTCCTTGTACTCGCCCAGTTTCAGGGCTTCACATGCCTTCTAGAGGCAGACCTCCAAATCTCAACCTGCCACCAGTCCTCATGACTTGCGCACACAGATGTCTCCTAACAGCTCCCACTGCACACGCCTGCATGATTTTCTTCTCCCTGCTGTGACAAATGACCACAAACTTCACTGCTGAAGCAAAACAAATGTGTCCTTTCATAGTTCTGGAAGCCAGAAGTAGTGGCGTCAGGGTGTTGGCAGGTGGTTTTTCTGGATGGAGGACGAGCTTCTAGAGGCCGCCTCCATCCTTGGCTCGTGGCCCCTGCCTCCTTCTTCAAAGCCAGCAGCGTAGCATCCTCAAAGGTCCCTTTCTGACTCTGACCCTCTGGCCTCCCTCTTATAAGGACCCACTTTGTAATCACATTGGGCCATCTGAATAATCCAGTATAATTTCCCAATCTCAAGATCCATAACTTAATCATACCTGCAAAGTCCCATTTGCCACAAAGGTGATATATTCTGGGGACTGGGACAGGGATATCGCTGGGGGTCATGATTCCACCTTCAACCATGTCCAGATAAAACCCTAGAACTCTGACCTTCCCTCCACCGGCTCTTCCCATTTCAGACATTGCTCCTGGCTGGCCTGACCTCCCCTCACCCTCACCAGCCCATCAGCAACATCTCTTGGCCCTCTCTCTGAAATACACCCAGGACCCAAACACTCACTCCTCTCACTGGCGCTGGCCCAGGCCTGCACAGCTTTCACCTGGGCTAATGAGCTAGCCTTTGTTGGCCTCCCTGCATTCCAGCTCCTGTCTCACTCAGGGTCAAAGCCAGGGCCTCAGAGTGGCCTGTCCAGCCTCACAGGGGGGGCCTCTGTGCCTTTTGGGCCTTCTTTTCAGCCCCCTCCCGTCCCCCACTGAATGGGGCAGGCAGCCCCTTGCTCCTGTCTGCGTGGTGCTCCTTCTGCCTGGAGCCCCTCACCTCCTTTCAAGGGGGCCTTCCTACTCCACCCCCACCGCTGCCTGCTGGCTTGGTCCCCTCCTTGCTCTGGGCTACTTTCGCCAGCATCGAGCTTCTCATGCATGTGTCCTCTGCTCACCGCCCATCTTTCCCATTAGAAGGAAAGTCTCATGAAGGCGGACTCTCCACCCGTGTTGTTTACCCGTGTATCCTGAGTGGCATTCAGCTCCACAACACGATGGAGGCTCAGCACACATTCACTGAACCGGTGAACCAGGGATGGACATCACCCGGGGCTCAGGGCAGCCAGATCTTCTCAGGGGAAGGCGGCCGGCACAGGCTTGCCTTCCTGGGAGGTGGAGTGAGGACAGGGCTTCCTGTGGGGAGGAGCTCAGTGAGTGGGATGGTGGCCCTCAGAGCTGGGCTTCTGCTGGGGTGGGGTCTGGACCCGGGGATGAGGTGAGACTGGAAGCAGGAGCTGGGAGAAGGAGGCTGCCCTAGGCAGCTGAGGAGGAGGGAGAACATGCTACAGGGCTGGGATATTGGGGGCTGGGGAGGGGCCTCTTCATGAGAGCTGTGCTGCCCATGGTGTGTGTGTGAACGGGTGCATGTGGGTGCCTGTGTGGACATGCCTGTTGGGGGGAGCGTCTGCTCATGGTGCCCACAGGCGTGCTTCTGGCAGTGTGTGTCTGGAGGTGTGATTTGTGTGCATGTGTGTGTCCTTGTATATTTATGGAGCATCTGTGTGTGTGCATGTGTGTCTGTGTCCATGTGCATATGTGCATTCATACATGAGTGTGTCTGAGTGTGCCTTGGTGTCTGGGAGTGAGCGCGTCACCATGCATCTTTCTATCTGGATGTCTGTGCACATGTATAAATGTGTGTGTGTCTGGAAGTAAGCATGTGAGTGAGTAAGAGTCTGCATGTCCTGCTGTGCCCCCGGGCTGGGCATCTGTATGTGGTGTGGTGGCTAGCCGTGCATGGTCATGTCTGGCCCCACGCGTGGCCCCGGAGGGTACACATTTGTGTCCATGCACGCGGTGCCTCTGCAGCCAGGCTGCAGCCAGGCCCTGCCAGCCCGCTCCCCTCCCGCGTCGGGCTGACGGCTGCCTGGGGCAGGTCTGAGGAGCCAGAGAACTCTTCGCGCTGTCACTGTTAGGGAAATCTGTGTCATCAGGCGCAGGACTGGAAAACAGCCAGCGCAGGGGGCCCTTGAGCCCGAGCCCTCCCCGCCCGCGCTGTCACCAGGGCCACGGGGCTCGGGTTAACTGATCGCAGGGAAAAACCCATTAAGCGCCTGCCTCTCCCAGTCATCCGTTATCGCGCGGACGGTCGCTCTTCTTCACGTAATTGGAGAAACTTTTCCCATTACCCGCTGTCTCTGCGAGGCGGCTCTCCCGCCCCCGCACCCTCCCCGCGGCCCCTCTGCCGTCACGCGGGTTCTTTTCCTCCTCCTTAAGAGGCTGACCTAATTTCCACTCTTTGTCATTTTCTCCCGACCAAACTCGGAGTCGGCTTTCTCCAGGAGCTGCTAGGAGCCTGGGCTCCCACTGAGCAATCCAGAGCAGCGTCTCCATTTCCTGGGCTCTCCAGGCCATCGCAGCCCCCGGCCCTGCCACGCACCGGCGCAGCCCCTGCACTCGGGCGGCCCTGCCTCGGCGGGATGAGTTCGTCCGAGGTGCATACAAGATGAGAAACAGAGCGCCGGGTTGCAGTGCCAGGCACCGAGCTGGGCTCCCCGAAGGCAGGCTCCAGTCCCTCTTCCCTGCTTCTTTCCGTGGGAAGGCAGAGCTGACTGTGGTTTCCAGAGGGGCAGCAGCAAAAACGAAAACATACTGTCCTCCTCCAGCGGCTGGGTCCTACCTGGGGAGGGCCTGTGTTCTTCACCAGCCTGGCCCCCAACCCCAGAGGGGAGCCCGGACAGAGGTTTTCTCTTGCTGCCTGGGTGCCTGAAGTTGGCAGATTGGCCTCCCAGGGACCTTGCTGCACCCTTGCCCCGCCTTGAGTCAGCCTCTGCACCTCTTAGCGTCCCTGGGAGGAACCCCCTCCCTGGCACCCATCGTGCGCACTGCGACCTGGACAATGCCCCAGCCAGCGTCAGTTCTGCTCCCTGTGAGAGGCACGGACCAGGCATGGTCCTGACTGCGGCTGGGTTCCCTGGGGTATGTGAGTGCCCGTGGGCCCCGTGGGAGGGGGTGTCCCACCCAGTGCCTCAGGCCTGGAAGCCAGGGTAGAGCCTCAGTGGACACAGCCTCATGGCAGAGGAGCTGCAGGAACGCCCTTGGACCTTTCTGCTTCCCGAGGGAGGCAGACTTATGGGGAACTGAGCTGGAGAGGGCCTCCATAGCTCAGTCCACACCCTGATGCCAGCCTCCCAGGAGGCTCTGGTGGGTGAGACCCGAGAGTGCAGGTTGCCAGCAATTTGGGAACTTTCCTGGGATTTCATTCAGCTTCTCCCTGACCTCCTAACCTGATTCCCTGACCCTCTGACCCCTACCTCCTGGACCTTAGGTAACCATTGCCACAATCCCTGCCCTGCAGACCTCCACACCAGCCTCTTTCCCCCCCTGTGCCCCGCCTCCCTGCACTGCCAGAATGTTGCTCCTGGCCCTGGGCTAGGAGATGGCTCTGGCCGTGTCCACTTGTGACTGGGTTCGCTAGTGCCCCTGGATTCTGTCCCTCTGGGGAGGGTCAGTCATGGTTCCTCTGTCCCCCAGCTCATCCTCACCTGGTGCCACCTGATGCCCATTGGCACCCACAGTTTCAGTCCTAAACTTGGAGCAGGAGGGCAGGCTGCCCCCTGTGGGTCCCAGCCCATTTGCAGATCGCTTATTCTCTTTGGAGAGTGGGTTTCTGCTTTGCTTTTTGACGTTTCTATTGACATCTAAGTTCCATGCAGTAAGCTTGCAATCTTTCATGCACCACATGGGTGACGTCATCCAGGCCCAGAGAGAGAACACTGCCTGCACCTGTGAGGTCACTTGTGGCACCGCTAGGGAAATATCTGCCACACAGGCCAACCACTATTCTGGCAGGAGGTTAGCGCTGCCTGCCCTTGACCTTCATGGATGCGGACGCAACCAATAGGAGCCCATTTGTATCTGGCCTCTCTCACCACACCTCATGCCTGCTCACAATGCCTAGCTGATAGCCAGCCTGTGCCAGGAGACCTCGGGGCTCCTCTGCTTCTGCAGGACGGGCTCAGTTGACTAGCATTGGGCACTTGGGAGGGCATCTGAAAAACATGCCATTGGGATGTCTCCACCACATCTCTCATAACCCCTCCTGGTGCTCAGAAACCCCCCCACCCCCACTGTCCACACTGATGGGCTGGTCCATCTAGCACTGGCCTCACATATGGCATTCCCCCTCAGGCACTGTGCCCCTGGGCCTGCTATGGGCCCACCACTCCTGCCCAGCTGGCCTGGCTTTCAGGTGCCGTGGATGCAGCCTCCTCAAACCCTCATCTCGGGCTCTGACTGACTCATGACCAGAGTCACTAATTTTGCCTTTCTAAATATTGACAACTGCGTGATGTGAGCTTTGACCAAGCAGAACAGACACGGTGGGTGTCAAATGCCAGCCTGCTAGTGTCCCAACTCCTCCATGCCAGCTCCCAGCACATGCACACACAGGCACACAGACACACATGTGCACATGTACTCACAAGCACACATGTAACACCCTCCCACTCACACACCCACAGATGCACATGCACGTACACAGACACACATGCATGCACACAGACATATGCTCTGCTGCGACCCTTTCAGTTCCTTGGGGCCACTTCAGCAGGTCTAACTCCTGCCCCTGTGGCTGCCTCTCCTCCAGAGTAGGTCAGAGTGGATGTGGCCTCAGTTGCCTCATCTGTGCTTGAGGAGGATTGGACCAGCTGCTCTCTGAGGCACTCTGGCAAACTAGCCACATTGTCTGGGGCACTTCCTTCCCTTACTGCCACCAGTTCCTGGGCCTCAGTTTCCACATCTCTGTAACTGATCTCCCAGCTCAAAGTCTGCGTCCCAGTGCACTGAGTGCGTGTGCAGCACCCTGGGTGGCAGAGGATCAGAGCCTTGAGCCTGAGGGTGTGGGTCTTGGAGGGTGCCCCGCCTGGGCCTCTCAGGAGGCCTGGGGGGACGTGGCCACATGTTGTTCTTGCGGAGCGCAGACCAGGTCAAAGCCTCTGCACACTCTAATCCCTTGGTGGAGCCTCTCACCGGCCTCACCCAGATAATGCCTCAGATTGGGATGCCTTGGTCCCCAGGGAAAGCTCCCCTTGCCTCCCAGAACAGGTGAGATGCCCACCTGGGGGCCTTACAGGCCTGTGCCCATGGCTGGGCCACCTCAGTGGAGCTATGATCTGTAGCTGATGACCTGATGGGCCCGCCTGTCTTCCCTGAGACACAGCTCTGTTCAGGCTGGGCTGGCTGTTTCTGCTTACCCATGCGTCCCCAGAGCTTGGCAGTGCCTGCCACAGTAGGTGCCCATGACGACTCACTGGCTGGGTGGAGCAGCCCAGCAGTGGCTCCTGGCCAAAAAGGGACTGGGAGGCTCCCCAGCAGGCAGCCCGTGTGATTCTCTTCCGAGGCTGCTTTGGCCCCACCAACATTGCTGGGCTCTGCCAGGGGCGGTAGACGTCAGCTGAGCTAAGAGGGATCCTCGAAGTGACAGGTGCTTCTTAGCTCCGGGCGTGCTCCAGGCGCGCCCCGGGCCCAGGCTGAATTGGCTGGTACAGCAGCCCCTGTTTCCTGGGCTAATTAGGGAAAGAGGGCTGGGAAGGGAGGGGCCAGAAGTGAGAGACGCTCTATTCTGGGCTCAGACCAAAGGCAGCGAGGCTCACTTGTGAGAATGGTGTGTGTGTGTGTGTGTGTGTGTGTGTGTGAGAGAGAGAGAGAGAGAGAGAGAAACAGAGAGAGACAGACACAGAAAGGGACAGAGATCAAGACAGAGAGGAAGAGACAGAGAGAAAGAGGGAGAGACAGACACAGAAAGAGAGACAGAGATGGGGGTGTGTGTGTGTGTGTGGATAGAGGGCCATGTGCCTGGATTGCACACGTGTGTATGTGCTGTGTTTTTGTGTATATATAGGCATATGCCTGGATACACACTTGTTTCCGTGTTTTGTGAGTGTATGAGTACATTTGTGCCTTGTGAGTCAGTGCGCTTGTGTCTGAATCTGCATGCACGCTTTTATGGCATGCACACTTGCTCCTGTGTGCATGTTTATTTCTGTGAGTGATGTTTGCATTTTGTGTGTCTGTGTTATGTCTGAATGTGTGTGTGTGTGCATGAGCGTGCAGTACTGTGGCTCTATCCCTGCTCCAGAGCTTCCATTTCTATGCGAGGACTGGAACTGTTGTTTTTGGTGGTGGTCCCTTTCCATCTTGTTGGCTCCTCTCTGGGCCAGATCCTCTGAGGAAGGACAAGACCCTGGGGCGATGGCCTCCTGATTGCCCCGTGGGTCATCTGGGTCCTGCCCCATCCTGGGCCCCGCAGACCAGGCTCCTGGCCATCTGCCTGACCCCAGGCCTGGAGCCTGGTTCCCATATCCTGGGCACATCACAGCTTCAGCAGACACCATCAGACCGTGGCAAGGGTCCCTCTGTGAACCCCATGGACACCCCTCTTGATCCTCTTTCTTAATAAGGGGCCTACAGAACCCTGGATCTTGCTGGGTGATCATGTCCTATAACGTGGCCATTTTGTGAGTGATAATCCCACGCGACCACAGGCGCTGGCCAGGACTGTGGTGGGCAATTGTGCCAATGCCCCTAGGTCTCGTCCGCAGCTGCACTGTGCCCACCCAGACCTCTGCCTGGGCTATGCTGAGGGAGCTGTGTGGTCTGGCAAAGCCCCTGGAGGCTGGTTTCCTTGTCTGCACAGTGGTGCTGCCCTCCCGGCTAGAGGAGGGTGCAGGAGGGAGCTCTGCCCTGGGGAGGCCTTGCTGGCATCTGTGAGCCCTGCTTGGCTTGAGGCACTGGCAAGGGCAGTTGGGCTTGTGGAAGGGCAGGGAGAGTGAGCGAGAGGGTGAGGGAGAGGTGAGTGGGAAGGAGGGCAGCAGGTGCACAGAGTGGGGCTGGGGAGAAAAGTGGGCTCTGGCGTGGGGAGCCAGCGGTGTGCACTCATTGCGGTTGCCTTTCCTCCTCCAGCTGTGTTGGAGGAGGGAAATGATGCCATGTGGAGGCCAAGGGGGTGGCTGCAGGGGCCCCGTGAGAGAAGATGGTGGCTGGTGCTGAGGCTGGGGTTGGACAGTGTTGGGGTGGGGTGGGGCAGTGAGGTGGGGAGGGGGAGTGAGACAGCAGGGATGGGTGGTGCCTGGGCCTTTGGTACTCACACAGGGCCCAGCTGCTCGTTAGCTGTCTGGAGCATCCCGGGCCTGCCTGGATGGGCAGGAGGTGGCCCTTGCTCGGGGAAAGGCCTCAGCAGGATACCAGTGGACCAGTCCTGGAACAGCCGCCGGTGAGTGTGAGTACTCAGTTTCCACACCAGAACAACAGGAGGAGCAACCCCCAAGGGGAGGGCGGGTGCTGGGATGAGTGGTAATGGGGCCGGGGCCCGGTGTCATCAGGCTGGGCACTGCGGAGAACTCAGTGGGGTTGGGGTGGGTGGCAGGTGGGCACCACGGGTGCCAAGGAGACTCTAACAGACCCCCTCTAGTCAGGAAGGGTGGCAGAGCCAGTGTGGACAGGGGAGTGAGAGGCACTGGCGGGGGCGACTCAGGGCCAAGTGGGCAGCTGCTGGAGCTGAGTTTGGGGAGAGATGATGGGACAGCTGTGGCAGAGTCACCTCAGCCTCTGAGAGGACAGGGAGCTGGGGTGGGGGCTGCAGTCCTGGCCTCCCCACCTCTCCCACCCCGCACCTTCCCCTTGCGCTCTCAGCCCAGAACATGGGCCCCAGGCCCTCATGGCCCGTCTCGGGCTTTGCCTCATAACTCTTTGTGGCCAGGGTGGCTGCTCCTGCCTTGGGAAGCCTGCTGTTTGGGGCACCAGGCCTGACCTGAAACCCTCACCTGGAACCTGACTCTGTGCATCCAGAACCAGTGGCCCACACTCCTGGAGGCTCAGGGCCCATCCTGTCGGGTGCCAGACAGCATCAGGTCAGAGCCACACCAGCCTGGTGCTCAGAGGTGTCCCTGTGTGTGGGGTGGTGGCATCCCGCTGTCATGAGAAACCAGGCTCTAGCACAGCTAGCAGGGGCCCTTGGCTACTGAGAAACCCCTTCACTCCCTGATGCTCTCACCTGTAAAACTGGGGGCTCATGGCATAGGGCTCACAGATAAAGGGGAGCCCTGTGAAACCCTGATACATGACACCAGTCAATATCAGCTGTCCTGTGACCTCGTCTTTCTCCTGCCTGGCCTCTCCATGAACCACCAGGGATGGTCTTTGGGGGAATTTGATAGCCTGGTGATGGGGAGTTTTATGCAGATGAGACCTGAATTGGGTGTGGGCTTCCTCTTCCTGTGGGCAGGATGATAATTAGGGAATCCGTATGGAGGATGTTAGCTTGTGAAGGGCCTTAGATACCAGGGAGTCTGGGCACATTGTTGGGCTAATGGGGAAACTGAGACCCAGGCAGAAAGCCCTCAAGGCCCCAGGCCTCCTCCCCTAACACAGGGCAGCCTGTTTGTAGTTCTCATGAGAAGGATATTCCTGGCCTTAGGTCCTGCTGGAAGGTGCCCTTCTTGGAAAAGCCCCTGCCGGGAGACTGCAGGTGAGTCAGGGCAGTCGCTGCCAGCCCCGCCTCCTGGCTGATGGCCATCCTGCGAAACA
Source organism: Homo sapiens (assembly GCF_000001405.40). NCBI lineage: Eukaryota > Metazoa > Chordata > Mammalia > Primates > Hominidae > Homo > Homo sapiens. Next base: position 127,142,034 of record NC_000003.12, read on the forward strand.
GACCTCGGCTATCTCCCCGATACTGACAGTTATTGCCACAGATAAGAGCAGAGTAAACATGAAATCCTTTAATGCATTTGCTAACAGCTGTTCTCTGTTTATAGACACCAGGCCAAGCAGGAACCTTGGCTCTATAAAGCCGGGATGCTGGGCACGGGTTGCCGCCTGCCCGCACTCAGCTGGGCAATTTTAGCCAAGCCCAGGCCTCTCTGGGTCTTGGTTTCTCCATCTGTGAAACATGCGGTCCCAATGTGACGGCCTAGAAGGCTCTGGCATCCTGTGAGCTGATGTGTGAGGACAGGGAGTGTGTGCAGGTACGTGACGCACGCACACACAGACTCACTTGGGGAAGTCAACTGTCAAGCTCAGTGTTTTAAAATGTGCTTATTTATTTGGCTTGTTTGTGCGCCATCTCTTCGGCTGCCTTTATAAATATTTATCAATGTTGTTGCAGTGGCATTTCCTGGGAGGAGGTGAGAACCGGCTGAGAGGAAAGGATGTCAGAGAGGAGCTGACAGGTGGAGGGCCCCAGGCCGGGGAGGGAGGAGGAAGCCAGGGCCTGGCTCCAGGGGGATAGGGGCTATGATGTGGGGCCTGACCTAGGACTGAGAAGCTGGGATTTGAAAGTGGGACCCAAAATTCAGGACATCAGGTAAGGATGAATCAGGACTATGAAGAACCAAGTAACCTTGGACAAGGCCTTGGACTTCACCATTCACAGCTACTTATTAAATAACAATACTTAGCATTGACTTGTGCCTGCCAGACACTGTTTTCAGTATTCCCTTATTTAATCCTTATAAACAACTCTCTGATGAAGGGACTGCAATCCTCCCTGTCCTACAGATAAGGAAATCAGGGAACTGGGATTTAGTTACCTGCTCAATACACACTATTTTGAAACCCAGAGCCAGGCTGCAAACCCAGGCAGCTGGTTCCAGGGCTCTCACATAGCCACTTAGCCACTCCTTAGTCAGCACTCCATCCTGGGAAGATCATTTGCTTCCTAAACAAATGTTCCTTACAGCCTGCTCCACACCTGACCAGTTCTGACCTTGCTCCTGGGGCAGCAGAGATGACCAAGAGAAAGCCCCTGACTTTGAGAAGCTCAGGGCAAGTTGAGCATGAGAATGTTGCTGTGTAGTGAATGTTCAGGATACATTGGGAGGGCATTTAATCCTCACCCAGGTCAGCAGTGGCTAGCCAATCTTGGCTGGCCCAGGAAAAAAGTGTCCTCAGTCTAGAGTGGAAAGGAGAGGCCTGGTAGCAGAGGGATGAAGCTGGAGGATGTGGCAATCAAAGAGAAATCTGGTGTTGAGCCTGAGGAACAGAGAGGTAGAGGCTGTATCAGCTAGCTTTTGCTGTGTAACAAACCACCCCAAAGCTTCCTGGCTTAGCACAACCACCAATTGTTTAGCTCATGATTCTGTGAGTTGGAAATTTGGGCAGGGCGGGCTTCGCTCTTCTGGAAGTAGGGTGTTATAATTTTACTCATTTATGAATCCTTTTTTCTTGGCCTTTTGAAAAAAAAATTTAGTTCTAATTATATGGGTAGCTAATAGATGTGTATATTCATGGGGTATACGTGGTGCTCTGGTAGGCACACAGTGTGTAATAATCAGTTGAGGTAATTGAGGTATTCATCACCTCAAGCATTCTTCATTTCTTTGTGTTAGGAACATTTCAGTTCCAGTCTTTCAGTTATTTTAAAATATACAATATGTTATTGTTGACTGTAGTCACCCCATTGTGCTATCAAGTACTAGATCTTATTTATTCTATCTAACTCTATGTTTGCACTCATTATCCATTCTTACTTCTCTTCCCCCTCCCTGCTACCCTTCCCAGCCTCTGGTAACTGTCATTCTACTCTCTGTCTTCATGAGTTCAGTTGTTTTAATTTTTAGCTCCCACATATGAATGAGAACATACAAAATTTCTCTTTCTGTGCCTGGCTTATTTCACTTAACATAATGTCTCCCAGTTCCAATGATGTTGCAAATGACAAGATTTCATTCTTTTTATGGCTGAATAGTATTCCACTGTGTATATGTACCACATTTTCCTTATCCACTTATTTGGTGATGGACACTTAGGTTGCTTCCAAATCTTGGCTATTATGCATAGTGTTGCAGTAAACATGAGAATGCAGATCTCTCTTCAATATGCTGATTTCCTTTCTTTTGGGGCTTGGCTCTTCTTGCTGGGCTCACTAAGATGTCTGAACACAGTTGGGATGGCGGGGCCGTTCTCCACAGTCTCTCCCCTTCCACAATGATCTCCCTGGCTTCCTCACACTCTGGTCACAGGGTCCTAAGAGTGAGATTGAAACACACAAAGGCTCTTGAGGCCTTGGCTTGGAACAGGCGCCATGCTGTTTTCCAGTGCATTGTGTTAGCTAAGGGTTTGGGAAATAAAGCCCACTCTTTGGTGGGAGAAGCTGCAGAATCATATTGCAAAGGATGTGGGCAGAAAGAGGGGAGAGATTTGGAGCCATTTTTGCATCTCCCTTGCAGATCATGTACAGTTATGCAAGTCAGAGGGGAGGTGGGAGGGGGCTGTGGCCGGATTCCGTTTAGGATACAATTGTATTGCAGGTGTTGATAGGACCTGTGAGAAGAAGTGGCAAATGCAGCTTTGGGGATCTGAGGTCTAGATTGGTCCTTTCAGTGCCTCTTCTTCATGAGTGGCATCCAGAGTGTCTAAGTGCCTGCTCACCATCTCTGCCGATGCTCCCTGGTGCTGACTGGCCCTGGGCAGCCCCTACCCGCCTGTCAGTGACCACGTAGGCTATGTTCTGTCTGCTGGGCTAGACGTCCACTCCGCTCCAGTGTCGGGGTGTGAGGTCCTTGCAGGACCCAGGCCTGCCCTGTATCCACATCCTGGTCCTGCTCCTCACCAGCTGTACATCCCTTGCAATTCTCACCCCCTTTCTGAGGCTCAACTTCCTTATCTTCAAAGGAGAGGACAGAGGCTGCCCCTGATCCTATGAGGACACTATGGTGCATGCACAGCCCCTGGCATGAGGCTGGCTGCATAGGGATCCTGGTACCGTCATGTGTTCCCCAGTGCCCTCCAGAGTCTGTGTGTCTCTCACTGTAAGCCGGATTCAGCACTTCCATTAGCTGGCCCAGGGTGGGCCACAGATCCCTGACTATTGGCTTCTCCCTGAACCCCATCACTGCTTATGCAGCCCCACTAGGGGTGTAGGCTAGCATCTCCACCTTCATGGCCATGGCTGAAGCTTGACCCCACCCCCTAGGTGCTCAGGCCTAAGGCATGGTGCCATCCTTGACGCCCATCTCTCTTGCTCACACCTCGTCAGCCTCACCTTCGCAGTATGTCTAGACTCTGACCACTTCCCCCACCCCTACTGCTGTGCCTATTCCCAGCCACTGCCATCTCCCACCCCCTCACTGGGCTCTGGGCAGCCCATTCCCTGACATCCCTGCTCCCCACGGGAGGGTTTGCTGGTCACACCTAAGCCAGAGCAGGCCCCACCTCTGCTGCAGGCTCCACCATGGCCCACATGTGCCCACCAAGTGCCTGAGACCTCTCTGCCTTCCTCTCCCTGTCCTCCTCCTGGCTCCTGCTAAGCACCCGTGGTGCTCTCTCTTTTACCGCCTTTCAATCTCTCCTTTTTTTTTTTTTTTTTTCAGACGGAGTTTCGCTCTTGTTGCCCAGGCTGGAGTGCAATGGCACGATCTCAGCTCACCACAACCTCTGCCTCCCAGGTTCAAGCGATTCTCCTGCCTCAGCCTCCCAAGTAGCTGGGATTACAGGCGCCCACCACCATACCTGGCTAATTTGTGTATTTTTAGTAGAGATGGGGTTTCTCCATGTTGGTCAGGCTGGTCTTGAACTCCTGATCTCAGGTGATCTGCCCACCTTGGCCTCCCAAAGTGCTGGGATTACAGGCATGAGCCACCACACCTGGCCTCCAATCTCTCCTCTAAGGCCACCTTCTCCATCAAGCCTTTCTAGGTCACCCTCTTAAAAGTTGCAACTCCACCCAAGCACATGCGACCCTTTCCCTGCTTCAGTTTTCTCCACAGCCCTGTTGCCTCCTGATATAGTCTAGAACTGAGCGATTTTGTCTATTAGCTTCCCTCAGGATATGAGATCCATGAGAAGAAGAATTTATATCTATATATTTGTTCATCATTATGTCCCCTGCACCCATAACATAGGGCCTGGCACACAGCAGGTGCTCAAGAAGCATCTGCTAAATGAGTGAACGAGTGGATGGATGAGTGGATGAATGGATGGATGGGTGGATGGATGGATGGATGGGTTGGTGAGTAGATAGTTGGGTGTGTTGGTGGATGGGGGGGTAGATGGATGGATGGATGGATGGGTTGGTGAGTAGATAGGTGGGTGTGTTGGTGGATGGAGGGGTAGATAGATGGATGGGTGGGTGGATGGATGGATGGATGGCTTCCAGTTGTCAATGGCCCACTGCCCAATTTGCTTCCTGTGTAACCTTGGCCCAGTTGGCCAACCTTTCTGTGTTTCCCCTGTAATGTAGGAGCAGTGGAGATGCCTCAGCATCACTACCCAGCAGCCAGACACAAGTTTTGTTTGGCTCAGACTGCTTTAAACAATTTCCATGAGTTGCCAACATTTTGAAACAGGGAGCTTTCACATAACAATCCATCTTCCAGCTACTTGTGAAAGAAAGATGGCTCACTGGCTCTGGGCTGCAGCCAGGGGTCTGTCCCTGCCAGTGCGACCTGTGCCCAATCCACCTCTCTCCAGCCACACACAGCCTGGGCAGGCAACTGAGTTTGAGACCCTGCTCTAAGGTCTGTGCATCAAGGAGGCCACTTCTGGAAAGGGAAAGATCACACATTTATTGGGCACTTCCTGTGTTAATGAAGCCCACACTTTGTGTTTCTAAAAGCCTTTAGTAGGTCCATGAGCTGGTCCCATGTGGTCAGGCATGGAAGCTGGTAACACGGGGGTCACAGGAACAGTGAGGGACATGGCCTGCAGTGGTGGAATTGCCATGGTTTAAGACATCTTGTTCCCTCTGAGGAGTCTCTCAGCATAGTCACTTGTGATGATGAAGGACATGGAGATGGCACCAGTCCATTTTGTGGATGGGGACATTGAGGCTCTGCAAGGTACACAGCCTCTAAGATCCCACCACTTGTGGGGGCAGAGCTGGGATCAGGGTCCAGGTGTGTCTGCCTTTCCAGCCACTCCCTCACCCCTCACCTGCCTCTGCTCAGGCTGCCACAGACCCCTGGGCTCCCAAGCTCCACTACCCGAGAGTCTTCTGTTCTGTCTTCTTCCTCAAGGTCTTACTACTTGTCTTCCCTGTCGCTGACCTCTTCTTGGTGGGTGTGGGGGAAGAGGAAGAAGAGGAGGAGACGGGGGAGATGGAGGGGGCAGAAGGAATGAGAAGGAATGGACTCAGAATGGCTGGCGGCCAACACCTCAGTGGGCCATCCTCAGCCATGCCCTGCAGCCAACCCATCAGCCCGGCCCCAGACACTTACACTGTGGAGGGGGCAAGGAAAACCAGGACCCTCCCCTTCTGGATGAGAACACCCTGCCGTTGAGCAGATGAGCTGGAACACAGAAAGGCAGTGGCTGCCCAGCCTCTTGAGTGGAGGGGACCCCATATCTGCCTCGCTCCTCCCTGAGCACCCTGTGTGCCCTCACATCTCCCTTCTCCATCTCAGCCAGGGCCCCCATGCCACCACCCATGGCATTTCAGATACCTCCAAATCCCACAGGGGACTCAGTGTGGGTTCAGCCTGTCCACTCCACTCTTCACCATCACCCCCTTCAAAATCCACCACTGTCTCTCCCCCAGCTATTGGTAGTCATCCGTTAATGCCCCTTCCCACCTCCCTCCTTACCACTCCAATCCATTCAACATGCAACAGAGCTGGGAAAAGGGAAATAAAGGGGGAGGGAGGAGGGAGAGAAGAAGGAGAGAAGATGGGGCAGAAGGGGAGGAAGAGGATTCACTTTTATTACTCATCTTTTTTATTGAGGTACTATACAAATATGGAAAAGTATACAATCTTAAGTGTACAGCTCAGGGAATTTTTATGTGTGTAGACTCCCATATATGCCTAGGTTCAGAAGGACAATGCAACTTGCAATTATATTTTCTGTGTCTGTTGTTTTTATGCATTGTCTGTCTCCCTGTTAATGGTGGAGCTAGCCCTGTGTCCCCACCATGTCCCCATCACCTTGTGGGCCCTGCCCCTGGCTTTCCCCAAGGCAGGCTCATAGGAAATAATGTCTGGGCAATGGTAGGAGGAGATACTTGGGGACAGGGCTGTGGCCTCTTGACCTCAGCTGAGCTGTCCAGGGCAGGGTGCAGACGGGGACTGTGCTCACAGATGAGGCAGCTATAGGATCACTTATCCCTTCCTTACCCTCAACTAAAAACCTTGTTTTTCTTTTTCTGGACTTCAGGAATGGATGGGATCACTTAACATTGAAAAGGTGTCAGCTATCCACATACCTCTAAATCCAAAGTCATCTAGGTGCATATTGTCATGATTCAATGCTAGGGGACAGCTTCTTAGACACATTAAAAAACACAAATTGTAAGTTGAAAATATGGATGAATATATAGACATCACCATTAATGGCTGATTCCGTGTCATCAAAGGATCCAGAAGAAAGTTAACTGTCAGATGGCTGATGGAGAGGTCACTGGGTACAACTAATGAGAGGCCCATGTCTGTATTACCATGTATGTCTAGAGAGACCTGTGTCTATACCATCATGTATTTCTAGAGAGACCCTTGTCTATATGACCGTGTATGTCTAGAGAGACCTGTGTCTATATGACCATGTATTTCTAGATAGACCTGTGTCTATACTACTGTGTATATCTAGAGAGACATGTGTCTATACTACTCTGTCTGTCTAGAGAGACCCGTGTCTATGCTACCCTGCCTATACTACTGCTTGTGTCTAGAGATACCCATGTCTGTATGATCATGTATTTCTAGACAAACCTGTGTCTATATGGCCGTGTATGTCTGGAGAGACCTGTTCTATACTACTGTCTGTGTCTAGAGAGACCCATGTCTACACAATTGTGTGTGTCTAGAGAGACCCATGTCTATACTACCCTGTCAGTCTACAGAGACCTGTGTCTATACGACTATGTGTGTCTAAAGAGACCAGCATCTATAATACCACGTGTCTAGTGAGACCCATGTCTATACTACTGTGTGTGTCTAGAGAGATTTGTTGTTTTTGTTTTTGTTTTTGTTTTTGTTTTTGTTTGAGACGGAGTCTCACCTTGTCTACTTGGCTGCTGAGGGAGGAAGATTGCTTGAGCCTGGGAGCTCGAGGCTGCAGAGAGCTATGATCACAACAGAGCAAGACCCTATCTACAAAGAAAAAAGAAACTAAAAGGAAGCTCTCTGGGCGGATGATGCTCATTAGCTGTAAACTGAGGAGTGTGGTCGTTGTGGCCTCCACACCCAAGGTCTGTTTCCACACATGGAGCACATGCAGAGCAGTCTCAAAATTGCAGGATTTAAAAAAATTAACCTAGTAAACTCATTCCAAAATGTATACACAGGAGAAAGTTTGTTTTAAAAAGTGAAGTCTGTTTTGAAGAAGCCAAGCAAAAGTCAACTTGCCCTAACAGAGGCAAACTACCCTGCAAAGCCACAGTGATTAAAAGATAGGCTGGCCCAGAAACCGCATATGGGTCTAAACACCCTCCCAGGCTGGGCACAGGGCAGCTGCCCTCTTCATGCAGGCAGTGAGTGCCAAGCACAGACTCCGTCCCGGCCCTGAACCCCGTGCTGATCACAAGGGTGAGCCCAACAGACACAAGCCTGCTCGTGTACTCATGTTCCCAGTACAGGGGGGACAGAGGGGCAGAACAAAAGAATCTCACAGTCAGTTTGGAACCTTGATCATGAGCTGTGATAAGAAAGAGGGAGGTAGTCAAGGAAGGCTTCCTGGGAGAGGCAGCATTTGCTGAAGGATGAGTGTACAGCAGTGAGGGTGGACAGCAAGAGTGTTCCAGGATGGAGAGGGGTGTACAGGGTCTTGCCCAGGGGCAGGAGGGTGGAATGAATTTGGAGAGGTGAGGCAGGACCCACCGTCTTGGGAGGAGCCTGGAGATCCTAAGGGCTGGCTCTCTACATGCCCATTTAACCCCATGAACATTCTGTGGGGCAGCCTTTCCTTCCCACAGTGGCCTCCCAAATCATAATAAACTCATAGGGTTTTAGAGCCAAAGGCTCATACTCCAGATAGGGCAACAGAGGCCCAGAGAGATGAGATGGCTTGTGGAGGAGGCAGGGAAGAGGGTCTTAACAGACTGAGCACCAGCTCCTAGGCCTCCTAGCCTCCGGATGATCCAGGGCCATGGCCTCCTTGGCCCTGGTGCCCCAGCAAGTGGGAACCCAGCCTGATCCCCTCTCAGGAGCCCAGAGCCTTGACTTTAGGCAAAGCTACTCCGGGGTTTAAATACTATCATTGATTATTGTAAGTGAGCTTATGAGCCTTATCGGCTTAGAATTGTATCTGCAGGAGAGCTGTTCATCTTAAATAAATATGTTTTTAATAATCTCTGAGTATTTATGGAGCATAAAGCTGTCAGAGAAAATGGAGATGACGATTCCTGAAGTCACTTACTGTCCGGATCTCAGAGCCGATTCATTATGAAAACCGGCTCCCAGCAGGATAGCAGCTTCGGCTGCCGGCAGCAGATGGAAGACCCGGGTGATTATCATCTCGGAGGATTTTTTAATAAGCTGGTGTTGGTTATTTAACCTACAATAGCCACTTAATAAACATAGTAAATTACTTGCAGGTTGGGAAATATCCTCTACTCCTCCCGGTGCCTCCAAGAACCACCTGTGCCCTGGAGCATTGACAGGAAGTCCCAGGAGAATGATCCTCCCTCAACCCCACTCTGCCCAAGCCACCACTGCAGTGGTCCAGGGAGCGGCCCACACCCTGGGCCTTCCACCTAGGCCTCTGCTTTGTGGGGCACAGGGTCAGGGTGTGGTTTGGGCAGAGCAGGGGCAGGGTGAGGCCTTTCACCCAGTTTTGTGCGTCCAACTGGAATAGGTGCGCCCCTTTCCCATTGCCCACAGGGAGGCTGGGGACAGCCAGGAGGCCGGGGGCCGGTTCTTCAGGACCCAGGCTGGCCTGACAGGCCCCTCCCCACTCCCTGGGCCAGGCTGCAGTGTCCAGCCTCCTCTCTGAGTCTCTCTTGGCCTCCCTTCTCCATGCAGAGTTGCCCATGAAGCGCGCTTACCCGTTGTCCACGCTCAGCCACAGCACACAAACTCTCACCGGCACCAAAGGACCCTCTTGTCACTGAATGTATGTAGCAGCTGTTGCCCCGCTACTCCCTCTGTCACCTGCCATCTCCTCTCACACTCGCTCAGCGTTTACTGTGCCTGGTGCCATTCTGAGCTCTTTACACATATTCACTTATTTTATCCTTCCCCCGAGGCTAGGAGGAAGAATTATTATTATTCCCTCTTACAGATGAAGAAACTGAGGCTCAGTCACTCTTCCAAGTGGTCAGTGTTTCTAAGTGGTACAGCTAGATAACAAACCCCAGCCATTAATCATACTCCAATATCTCCAATACTGCAACCCCTGGACCATAATGTCCTGGTTATATATGAACTGTCCCAGTGTTTAAGGCTCATATCTTAGCTCAGGCTGCTGTAATAGAATACAGCCATGTGTCACTTAACAATGGGGCTACATTCTGAGAAATTTATCTTTAGGTGATTTCATCATTGTGTACCCATGATAGAGTGTCCTTAAACAACTTAGATGGCAGAGCCTGCCACACACCTAGGCTTTGTGGGATAGCCTGTTGTTACTAGAATACAAACCTGTGCAGCTTGCAACGGTACTGAATACTGTGGGCAATTGTAACCCAAATATAAGTGTTTGTGTCTCTAAACATAGCTAGACATAGAAAATAGACAGTAAAAATAAACTGTAAAAGATTAAAAAATAGTATACCCATATATGGCCTTCACCATGAAAGGAGCTTGTGGGACTGGAAGTTGCTCTGGGTGAGTCAGTGAGTGAGTGGTGAGTGAATGTGAAGGTCTAGGGCATGACCCTGCATGACCGTAGACTTCATAAACACTGGACACTTAGGCTACATTAAATTTATTAAGAGTATGTTTTTCTTTCTTCAATAATAAGTTAATCTTAGCTTACTGGATAACTGCCATCATACATGTGGTCTATTGTGGACTGCAATGTCATTATGTGGTGCATGACTGTACCACAAACTGGAGGGGCTTACACAGTGGAAATTAATTTTCTCATAGTTATGGAGGCTGGAAGTCCAAGATCAAGGGCTGTTGGTTCAGCTTCAGATGAGGGCCAGGTAAGGGCTTCCTGGCTCGCAGACAGCTGCCTTCTTGCATCTTCACATGCTGTACTCACAGTGTGGCAGGAGTGTGATCAAGCTCTGGCCTTTCCTCTTCTTGTAAGGTCAATAATCCCACCATGGGTGCCCCACTCTGTGGCCTCATCTAAACCTAAGTACCTTCCAAAACCCCTCCTCCAGATCCACTGGGGGTTAGGGCTTCCACATATGAATTAGGGGGGACATAAATATTCAGTTCATATTAGCTTAAAGCAACACAGTCATGTTAACATGATCCCTCCTGGTTTCTGACATGGTTGGGTGGTTCCTGCTCAGGGTCCCTCACAGCACTGGGGTCAGATGGGTCTGAGACTGGAGTCACCTGAAGACTGCCCCCCACTGTGTCTGGTGTTGATGCTGGCTGTCGGCTGGGCTGTCCTGACACTGCCAGCCTGCCTGGGATGGGTACAGACTTTCCTGTGTGGGCTCCATCGAGAGCAGCTGCAGGCCATGCTGGGAGCAGCTGGCAGCTGAGTGGAGTGGAGATGCTGCAGGCTGGTAGCTGGATGTTGCCACATTGAGCCCGACTCTGCTCCTTCCTGGGTACAACCCAGCGTGTCTCCTGGCTTGTTCCCTGGGAATTCCGTGTGGGCACCTGTTGGCCTGTCTAGGTGCACATCTGGAGCAGAGAGGAGGTGGGCCTAGGTGGGCCTGGCCAGACTGTGGTGTCATATGTCACCCTGTGACTATGGCTCAGGATGAGCATGGCTGTGACTTCAGGACTAGAGGGTGAGGAATAGGTATTGGCACAGAGCAAGGCAGCAGGAAGGTGACCCCAGGTCCCAGTGGCCCAGGGTGGCTTGCTGAGCTCATGCAGGGGCAGATAGAAGGCGCTGGGCCTCTTGCCCCTCAGCCTGGCTTCTGAAGACATCGTAGGCTTCCCTTCCTTGCTGGAGTTGTGACTCTGAAGAGGGCACAGGGAGGTTCGGGCCCCATCTGCCAGGTGCATTGTCCACAGGGTCCATGGCTTTGGGCACACACTTTGCTGCGTGCTCTGGGAAAAGCTGCTTCATCCACCAGCGAAGGGCTGCAAGGAAGGCATTCCTTAAAGATCACTGGGTGTGCTGAGATGGGAGAACCAACCGGGTGCACGTGGGGTGCTGCCGGCCAGCCAGGGCATCCCTAGGCACGGGTCTCATGCAGGAGGGGGTGCAGGGCACAGCAGACTCTGCAGACAGGGCCCTGCTGAGAGCTGAGCTGGGGACAAGGGCAGGGTGTGGAGGGGACACAGGGTGGGAGCCAGAGGTATCACAGGTGGGTCTGGTGAGGATGCCCGGAGATCAAGAAGGGACTGCAAGGGGGGTCCTGCTTAGGTCAGGCCTAGCTTGAGAGATGGTGGCAGTAGTAGCAGTTCCTGAGACACTGATCTGGGGAGTGAGCTGGCGACAGAGAACACTGGCCAGGCCGAGGATCAGCTGCACAAGCTACATGCTTGGATCTTTCTCTGTATTAGAGACTGTGAGTGTGAGAGTGTGTGAGTGTAAGTGTGTGAGTGTGTATGTGTGAGCGTGGGTGAGCATGTGAGAATGTGAGTGTGTGAATGTATGTGAGTGTGTAAGAATGTGATTGTGTGTGTGTGAGATGTGTGATGGAATGTAAATATGTGAATGCGTGTATGATTTTCTGTCTCAACCAAACCATCGTCCAAGCTGTGTGTATGCATTTGTATATGAGAGTGTGTGTAAATGTGTGATGGAGTGTGAATGTGTGTGTTAGTGTGTGTATGAGAGTGTATGTGTGAGTGTGTAAATGTGTGTGAATATGTGAGTGTGGTGGAGTGTATGTGTGCATGATGGAGTGTGAATGTGTTAGTGTGTTTGTGTATGAGGGTGTGTGTATGTGAGTGTGTGTAAATGTGTATAGGAATATGAGTGTGAAGAAGTGTATGTGTGTGTGACAGAGTGTGAGTGTGTCTGTTTGTGTGTGTCTTATATGAGTGTGAACGTGTGTCTGAATGTGTGTGAAGTGTGTGTGTGTGACTGTGTGTGGTTGAGGGTGAATGTGTCTGTGTCAGTGTGTGTGGTGTGTGTGAATGTGTGTGTGAATATGTGTGTTTGTGATGGAGTGCAAGAGTGTTGTGTGAATGTGTGTGGTGGAGTGTGAATGTGTGAGTGCATGTGTCTGTGTGTTTGTGATGGAGTGTATGTGTGTGTGTCTATGTGTGTTACTGTGAGTGTGAATGTCTGTGTATTAGAGTGTGTGTGAGTGTGATGAAGTGTGTGTGGGGTGTCTGTGTGTCTGTGTGAGTCTGTGTGTGTGTCTGAGTCTGAGTGTGTTTGAGTGTATCTGTGTGTTTGTGTGTGGAGTGTGTGTCTGTGTGGTGTTTCTGTGTGTGTCAGTGTGTGTGTCTGAGTATGTGTGTGTCTGTTAGTGTGTCTGTGTCTATGTGAGTCTGTCTGTGTGTGTCACTGTGTGTTTCCGTGTGCATCTGTGTTTCTGTGTGTGTGTGTCTGTGTGAGTGTGAGTCTGAGCCTGAGTGTGTGTGTTTCTGTGTCTGTGTGTCTGTGAGTGTGTGTGTTTGTGTGTCTGTGTGTCTGTGTGTGTATGTGTCTGAGTGTGTGTGCCTTGTGTGTGTCTGTGTCTGTGTGTGCATCTGTGTGTCTGTGTCTGTGCCTGTGTCTGTGTATGTCTGTGTTGTGTGTCTGTGTGTGTCTTTGTGAGTGTGTGTCTATGTGAGTCTGTGTGTGCATCTGTGTGTCTATGTGTCTGTGTCTATTGAGTGTGAGTGTGTGTGAATCTGTGTTTGTGTCTATGTGAGTGTGAGGGTATGTCTGCATGTGAGCGTGAATGTGTGTGTCTGTCTGTGTGAGTCTGTGCGTGTGAGTGTGCCTGTGAGTCTGTGTGTTTGTGTGTGAGTGTGAATGTAAGTGAGTGCGTGTGTTTGTGTGTGTCTGTGTGTGAATGTGTGACTGTGTCTGTACATGTGAGTCTGTGTGTGTGTTAGTGTAAATGTGTGTCTATGTGTGTATGAGTCTGTGTGTGTGAAAGTGAGTGTGTCTCTGAGTGTGTCTGTGTGAGTGTGTGTGTCTGTGTCTGTGTGTGTGAATATGAATGTGTGTGTCTGTGCATCTGAGTCTGTGTGTCTGTGTGTGAGTGTGAATGTGTGTGTCTGTGTGAGTCTGTGTGTGTCTGTGAGCATGAGTGTGTGTGTTTGTGTGTGTGTAAGTCTGTGGGTGTTAGAGTGAATGTGAATGTATGTCTGTGTGTCTATGTGTCTGTGTGTGAATGTGAGTGTGTGTCTGTGTGTGTATATCTGTATGAGCCTGTGTGTGAGCATGAATGTGAGTGCGTCTGAGTGTGTCTGCGTGAGTCTGTGTGTGAATGTCAGTGTGTGTGTCTGTGTGTGTGTGAACGTGAACATGTGTGTGTCTGTGTCTGTGTGACTGTGAGTCTCTGTGTGTGAATGTGTGTGTGTCTGTGTGTGTCTGTGTGTTAATGTGATTGTGTGTGTCTATGTGAGTCTGAGTGTGAGTGTGAATGTGAGTTTGTGAATGTGCATGAGTCTGTGTGAGTGTGTGAGTCTGTGTGTGAATGTGTGTGAATGTGTCTGAGTGTGAGTGTGTGAGTCTGTGTGTGAATGTGTCTGAGTGTGAGTGTGTGAGTCTGTGTGAGCGTGAGTGTGAATGTGAGTGTGTGTGAGTGTGTCTGCCTCCTGCTTCCTGGGCTCTCTCGCTCATTCCCTCTCCTCCACTCGTCTCCGCTATTGACTCTTCTTCACCCCAAGGTTTTAAATTTTTCTCTTATTTAAAAATCTAGTGGAATACAGCACACATTCAAAAGTGTATAAAATGTGTGTGAACAGCTTCAAGCATAGTAAAATGAACTTCGAATGCATGGGAACACGTTTTCAGGCTCTGGCAACCTCCTGTGTGCCCTCCCTGTCCACGCCTCCCACCACCCCAACCCTGAGTGACTACCATGGAGTCCCTTAATCACTCCCACCCAGGAATGCAGCCTGTATTAGAAACAGATCGTTTAGGCTTTCTGGGCTTTTTAACTGGGTGTGAGTGGAATCAAACATGTGGCCTGAAACTCTCAGGCGATGCTGTTTCTGAGATCTCTCTTGTTGTGTGTGCCTGGAGATCAACCTCTCCGGTGCCACATGGATTCCATTGTTTGAATATACCACTCCCTACTCGTCCCTTCTATTATGGGCGGACACAGGAATTGCTCCAGGATTCTTTTTTGTTGAAGAACAATGCTGCTGTGAGCATCTCAGATGCGTTTCCTGGGGTGCACACCTTCCTGGGGTTGGTCACAGCCTGGGAATGGCCCGCCACGGTTCAGAGTAGGCCCCTCCTGTGGCCCTCCACCAGCAGGCCAGGACCCCCCGACCTGTTCCATATCTTCCTTGTCCTCCTTCCCCACTTCCATTCCCTCCCCATTTCCCACAAGGGTGGAATCAGACACATGTCGCTGTACACGCCACGCTTGACTAGAGCAGCCTGGTGCAGAGGATGTAATGTCCCATAGTAGGAGGGGAGAACCCCGTGCCCTCCTCCGTGGCCCTTGCTTCCCGGGCAGGGCATCTCTGAGACAGCCAGAAGCTGTCTCTGCCCCTCCCTCAGAGCAGAATCAGGCGAGCTCTGTTTTTTCTGTCTCAACCAAACCATCGTCCAAAATGCAGCCCCTGATTGAGGAGGTCCTGATGCTCCTGGGGCAGCCCTCTTTGGGGCAGAGAGTCGCATGAGCTCTTGCTCCCCTTGCCCTCAATTCCTGATTGTTTTCTGCGGGAAGCCAGTTGTAAAATGGTGGGGAATCTGTTCTTTGTCGCCGGTTTTCCAGGTGGTTTGTAAACACTCCCAAGGAAATGCTTCTCGGTAATGAACAAGGCCCCTGTGCAAGCTGAAATTGTATGGGCAATTAACCCCACTGGCCCAGCGCCCAGGAGGAACACCCCCAGCTGCTGCCTGCTGCACAAGTACCTTCGTGGGAGGGAGTCCAGGGTTCCCAACGTGAGCCCCTCCTCTGCTGCCTCTCACCTGTGGGGTGTCAGGCAGGGGGGTGGGGAGGGGCAGGTCGGGGGCAGCCGGCTGCACGGGGGTGCTTTTCCCTCTACTGCTGACAACTCATCCGGCCTCCCATGGCTTGGGATTCCTGGTGGTTTCTGAGGTTGTGGACACCTGATGGCCTCATTTGGTGTCCCCACCACTAGGCAGCCCCCCAATGGAGGCATCTGTGGACACGAGTGGGTTGGGGGCAGGCAACTCAAGTTAATGTGTGTCAGTGACACCCTCTGTGGTCACCGAGATGACAATCACAGCCATTTTCAGCATAGCGTTCAGACACATCTGTGCCTGGCAGGAATCACAGGGGCTACTTCCTCCCACAAGGCTCTTTTTCATTAGGGAGGAAAAAAACCCTCACCAGGTCCCCTCCCACCTCTCCAGGAACAGCCTGCACCACTGTCTGCTGCCGGAGGCTGCGAGGCTGTGAGTCTGGCATTTTTAAGTCTTGGCGGTGAAAGACTCCTTCAGGAAAGAAGAGAGTAGGCAGGCTGAGGGAAGGTAGAGTTGGAGGTTGAATAGGAGTTCACCGGTACGAGAAAGGGAAGGCAACACAAGCTGAGGCAACAGCAGGTGAAAGGGCCTTATGTATTCTGGTAACAGCAAAGGATTAGAGGATCAGAGTATAGTGGCAAGAGTGGGGACCAGGGAGGGGAGAGGCTGGGATCAGCTTGGGGTTCACAAGAGTCTTGGATTCACTGCTGTGGGCCACAGGGAATAATTCTATTTCGCCACTGGGCATAGGACTCCTCAGTTTACCCTCTTGCACCTTCCCAGAGTCTCCAGAAAGTACCGCTGGGACACTTCCCCGAAGTCCCCCAGGCCCTCTTTTAACATCACCCCCATCTGAGAGCATGTGCCCGCCCTCTGTCCCTGAGGTCACTGCAGGTCTGAGATGGGGGAGGAGAAAGGAAGAGCTGAGGGGCACATTCTGGGTGGCTGGCAGCTGGGGTCTAACTAGCTCGTGGACTTGGGGACATCACCTCCTTTGCTGAGCCCTTGCTCCTCTGCCATAAGTGGATGGCAACAGGACTAAAGTCTCCTAAGGTCCTGTGTGGACTTGAGGGGCTAAATCCCTGCAGCGCGTGGCATGTGGAAGGCACTCAGTAGGTCCATGTGCTCAACATCCAAGCCATGGTTCCTGAGCAGTTGGGTGCTGGGCATGGGGCACACAGCTGAGACTCCATGTACAAATTCCTGCGCCCCTGGAGCTGACACTTACATGAACGAGACCATTCCAGAGAGAGCTTTGGAGAAAGTTAACAAGTCAGTGTGTTGGCAGCTGGGGTGGGCTGGGTGGTCTGGAAGAGCTTCTTTGAGGAGGTGACAAAGGGCTGAGACCCGAGTGACAAGGAGGAGCCAGCAGGGAAAATCACCCCAGGAAGAGGGACTGGGGAACAAAGGCCTTGAGGCGGGAGCATGCAGGCACATCCTGGGAACACAGAGGAAGCAGGTGTGGCTGGAGAGAGTGGGGACGGGGCAGCTGTCATCCCTGCGGCTGTGATTATTGTTAGGTCAAGTTCTGCATTGGCCACAGTTTCTTGGCGACCAAGCCCTGTCCAGGGTGCTGAGAGGCCAGCGCAGGGCTGCAGCCCACAGCCCAGGCAATGGACCAGCCGGCTGTGCTCAGACTGGCTCCACCACTACAGCTGGGCAGCCTTGGACAGCAAGTCCTGAAGCTTCTTTGTGAGCAGCTTTTTCCTCTGCAGTGTGGGGGTGACAGCTAGTGCCTACCTGCTGTGGCTGTCACATAGGAAGAAAGCCAGGCACGTAGAAGGCACACACCCCATGCAACAATTACTGGGAGGACAAAATGAGGGAAGGTACCAAAGCAGCCCCCTTAACCCAGGGCAGGAAATGCTGGCTTCCTGGGCTCCAGGGCCTTTGCCACCTTAGTAGGTGCCCTGGCTTTGTGGAGGGTCCTCCCTCCTTGCAGAGTTAGCACATCTGTGTCTATTGGACTGGTGTCCCCTCCCTGTGGCCTATGGGCTGGACTTCAGGGCACAGGTGGGAGCTCTCCTGGGACCTGGCCACACCCCCACAGAAGCCTCCAGGAATAGCAGGTGAAAGACGTTATGAAAACGCCAGCAAGCAAAGTGTGAGGCCTGCTCTCTCCTGTCAAGAGCTGGAGCAAGAGCCTCTTTGCCATTGGATTCAATTTATTCCCATCTGGGCCCTGCTGTCTCCATCAATTCAGCTAATAAAGAGAGGTGGATGGCTATGACCTGGGCTGCCGCGGAGGCCTCTTCCAAGCTAATTAACCGGCCTGAACAATCCCTTTCAATACTTCTGTGCTTAATGCCCTAAAAGGGAAGAATGAACTGGGGATGGGGGAGGGGATGAGAGGCTGCAGCTGGCTGGGGGAGGGAGGAGGGGGACTGGTCCTCCTGACACCACCTGGGGAAGTGGGGGAGGTGGAGCGTCCGCCCCAGGAACCCAGCTTACAGACCCTGAGTCGAGAGCCTCACTGCCAGAAACTCAGTTTTCTCACGTATGAAGTGAGGACGTGCTTGCAACAAGGACAGATTGTTTGTGAATGCATGCCCCCCTCTGTGAGATAAACTCACAGAAATGCCATGTATGGATATGCTGCCTTGTGCATACAGCACCTCTGGGCAGGTCCATGGGAGGCTGGGGTCTCGGTGGTATCTGTGGGAGAAACGATCTGGAGGGCAAAGGCACAGGGAGACATTGGACTCAGCATTTGCTAGCCCTGGGCAAGTGCCTTTGCCTCCCTCCCCTCAATGTTTTCATCTGTAAAATGGGGCTAAGAACAGTGCTTCACTCAGGGCTGTCCTGAGGGCTGCATGAAATAGCATGGTTAAGCACTTAGCTGCTTCCTCAGTAAATACTAGCCATAAGCCACAGTGATAATAATTATCATTGTGGTTTGAATTCTGACCCAGTGTGTATATTAGCTATTAGATGGCCTCTATTTATTTAAAGAACACACAGACAAAATCCCATTACCCTGAGAGTCACAAGATTCCTCCATGCATGCCCAGTGCCAAGCCCAGGGCTGGGTGTTCCTTGGCATGAGTTCTGGGGACTTCCCAAGCCCATGACACCTGGCACACAGAAGAGAAAGTGCTGCCCTGGTGACTTTGCAAATGTCACTGGACCTCTCTATACCTGTGTCCCCCCTGCAAAATGGACTTGTTTCTGTTCACAGCACTGCTCTTCCCAAGGCCAGCAGCCCTTCCCCCCTTTGAGGATGGACTTTCTGCCCAGCTGCAGGGGCTGGTCAGCACACGACCTCCACCTGTCAATGCCTCAGGATCTGCCTCAGCTGCAAGGAGCCGCCTCAGTGCAGGCTTTGACCTCCCCAGAGTGGCAACACCCAGCAACTTAGTAAAAAGGGGCACAAAGGCTTAGCCATTCCAGCCCGACCAGGAAGAATCTGGCACAATATTCACTCCAACGCTTGCTGCTGGGTTGGGCGAGGCTTTGCTGGGCCTGCACTCTCTCTTGTAGCACTTCTGTTCTAGCGGGGCTCCCACAATAAAGAAGTAGAACACATCTGGGGAAAACCTTGGGGTTTCGGTGCCACCTCCAACCCAGGTGTGTCTCTTCAGCTCTTGGTTCTCCCCTGACCTCCAGTTATGTGTCCCTAACCCCTCTTGGGCATCCTATAGGCATCTCAAGCTCAACATGGCCCCCACTGAGCTCCTGACAATGCACCAGTCCCTCCCCAAACCTGCTCCTCTCACAGCTCGCCCACATAGGGGAAGAGCTGCTGCCTAATTTCTTAGCCTGAGCTAAAATCTAAGGGTCATCCCTGGTTTGCTCTTTCTGGGACACCTTGCATCCAGTGCATCAGAAAGCCCTGTGGCTCCTTCTCCCAAGCACCCAGCACTCTGGTCCAGGCCACCGTAGTCTCCCCGCTGGCCATTATTGTAGCATCTCTTCACTGGGCTCCTGCTCCATCCTGGCCCCTTCTGTCTGCTCTCCACTCAGCAGACACAGTGCCCATCACAAAATCTAAGCCAGATTGTGTCATGCCTCTGCTCATAACCTTCCAGTGGGTTCTAACCTTATTCAAAATGGAACTCCACCCCTGGCCTGTGAGACCCTATGTAACTTGCCCTGTGGGCCTCACCCTGCTTCATCCTCTGCTCCACTGCTAGCTCTGTGCCAGCCACATGGCCACCTTTTGCTCATGTGCTGCTCAGTCTCAGGGCTTGGCACCTGCCCCTCTCTCTGCCTGGAGCATCCTTTCCAGATGTTGTCACACCCTTTGCAAAGACATCTACTCCAATACCACCTCTGTCCCTCCTCCACTCACTATCCAGCTACTCCAGTCAATTCTTCTTCAGAGCAATAACATTCCCAGATCTTGATCTACACCTATACCTTCACCTACATCTATACTTACACCTATATCTACACCTACACCTACACCTATATCTACATCTACACCTACATCTATATCTACACCTACATCAACACCTACACCTATGTCTACACCTACACGTTCACCTATGTCTATACTTATACCTACACCTATGTCTACACCTACATCTACATCTACACCTACATTTATACCTACCCCATCTACATCTATACCTTCACCTACATCTACACTTACACCTATATCTACACCTACATCTACACCTAGACTTTCACTTATGTCTATACTTACACCTACACCTACGTCTACACCTACATCTACACCTACACTTACACCTACATCTTCATCTACACCAACTTCACCTACACCTACAACTGCACCTACACCCATATCTGCACCTACATCTACATCAACACCCACATCTACACCCACACCTTCAGCTATATTTACACCTACACCTATATCTACACCTCCATCCACACCTGCACCTTTACTTATGTCTATACCTAGACCTACACCTATGTCTATACCTACACCTACATCTACATCTATACCTACATCTACACCTACACCTTCACCTACACCTGCATCTACACCTACACCTACGTCTACACCTGCATCTACATCTACACCTACACCTTCACCTACACATAAATCTATAACTACATCTACATCTATATGTACATCTACACCTACACCTTCACCTACATCTACACCTATACCTTCACCTATGTCTACACCTATACCTACACCTATACCTACACCTTCACCTATGTCTACACCTACACCTACATCTGTATTTATATCTATATAGAGAGAATGTTTCCCCTAGTAGAATATAAACTCCATGTACTTTATCAATTTTGTTCTCTGATACATCACCAAGTGTACTTGAAATGTGGCTTGTCCAAATTGAGATGTGCTGTAAGTATAAAATGCCAGGTTTTGGAGACTTTGTACAAAAAATGTAGAATAGCTTATTAGTAATTTTGTATTAATTATATATTGAAATTAATCTCACCTGTTGCATTTTACTTTTGTTAGATATGGCTACTATAAAGCTATATTTCCATTGTCTAGAACTGTTTCATAGGGCAAACTGTAACACGATTTTTTTTTTAATTTCATATTTCCCTTGCTGGAGTGCCTGGCTTCCTCTCCCTAAGGAGCCAATGACCCGACTTGGGCCCAGAGCTGGGGGCAGCAGCTGAGGAGCTGTCCACTCCACGGTGCTGAAAACAGGACCCAAGGGCCCAATCCTGCTGCCCGGCAAGGGGACTTCCGGGCATGCTAACGCTGCAGCCTCAGCCTCTGACTTGTTGAGTGGTCCCAGAGCCTTCAAGAATTCCCTTGTCCTGCCAACAAGTCAGTTCCCAGCTTTGGTCCCGTGCCCTGTGGGAGGTGCACGAGCAGAAGAGAGACATCCCATCCTGAAGACGTCTCCCTCTCCCTGGGGAAGGCAAGGCTTTTGCAAACTAAACCTTGGGAAGACAGCCTGTAATTAGAGCAGTAAATTGTGAGGGCCACAGGCTTTGGAGAGGGTGGAAGGCAGGAAGCTCGCGGTAGGCTGGCAGGGTCAGCACATTGGTGTTTTGGGAGGACCAGACAGGTTTGAACACAGCGGGATTCAGTGGGTATCCCTCCACCATGTAGCTCATTTTTGTTAGATATTCACAAACTGCTGAGTGCTGGGGGATGGTGGGGACGAGACATGGGCTCTCTCCCTGGGGTTGATGTCGCAGGGGACTTCCGGACTTCGTTTCAGGGTAAGGATTGCCTTCCTTCTTGCCTGGGCATTCTTGGGCTGTAAGGGGAGCACTGGGCCCCAGAAATAGACTCTGGACTCAAACTCTGGCTCTGTCTTTTTCCAGCTTTTGGCTGCGGGTAAATCACCTCAGTGCTCAGAGCCTGCCTCTCACCCTGGACTATGGGTCTCCTTCAGACCCTGCTTTATCAGGGATGAGTGAGATAAAAGGTGAAGCATGGCTGGGCGCGGTGGCTCACACCTGTAATCCCAGCACTTTGGGAGGCCGAGGTGGGTGGATCAATTGAGGTCAGGAGTTCGACACCAGCTTGGCCAACATGGCAAAACCTCATCTCCACCAAAAATATAGAAATTAACTGGGCATTGTGGTGCATGACTATAGTCTTAGCTACCCGGGAGGCTGAGGCAGGAGAATCGCTTGAACCCAGGAGGCAGAGGTTGCAGTGAGCCAACGTCGCACCACTGCACTTCAGCCTGGGCAACAGAGTGATACTCCATCTCAAAAACAAACAAACAAACAAAAAAACGGTGAGGTGCAGGTGCAAGCAGAGCTCCATAAAGGTAAACCTCAAAATGAATTCTTCCAATCTGTCTTTATTATGATTTACTACGGTATTTTTAAAAAACCTTCCGCATTTTTGTCCAAGTAAAGCAGTTAAAAGTTCACATTGCTGGAGAATTTAGGGGCAAAGGTCTCCACTTGGACCCCACTCTCCCTCCTCAGGGGAGTCTCTGGCCCCTTTCAGCTGCAGGAACGTCCTCTGCAGATCCACACTATTCCTGGCTGGGCTCTTGTGCTGTGGCAGAGGTGGATGGGGTCTCTCCCCACCCTTCAGCTCCCTTATCCACCTGGCAGCCTCATCCACCTGGCAGGGCAGTGGCTCTCGTGGTTCCTCTCTTGTTTGCTTTCTCACCCTAAGGAGCATATTCTGATCTTACTTTCTGCTTCATCAACTATAGGCTAGCACCTATAGATACTAATCTTTATAGCTTCTGCTTTGTTCCCAGTTGCAGAAGCACAAATGAGGAACAGGAGGGGGCTCATTGTTCTCCTGGGTCTCAGTTATGTGCACCCCCAAAAACCCAGATCTGCTGGGTCAGAGCCTCACCTTTGTTTGTAGAGCCCCCAGCCAGCACTCATCAGTGTGAGACCACACATGACCCTGTACCAGGGTTCCCTGCTCCCCTCCTGCCCTCCACAACCCAGTCTGATGGCCTCAGCTATCCTGCCTCACCTCCCAGCCAGGGCCCTCCAGCCCTGTGGCTTGGGAGACAAGGCAGGAAAGACGGCGTGGCTCGACCCTATGGGACAAATGTGAGAAGAGGTGTCAGGCGTAGTCCCTCATCAGTCACGTGACACAGGGGCTCTTCTCATTTTGTTTCAAAGTCCACAGGAGAGAGGTGATGAGGCCAATTCCCCAGCATCTCTCCAGTGAGTTTAATGTGGCTGGTTTGAATTACCCATTCAACTGAGAAGGCAGGAAGAGGTATTGCCTCCTTTTTCTCTCCCATCAATGCTGTGAGAAGATAGTATCATCTCATTTTATGGGTGGGGAAACTGAGGCACAGGGTGACTCAGCAACTTGCACATGGCCACACATGAAGGGTGAAAAGGGGCTTGTCTAGACCTGGAAGTCACCAGCACACCGGCCTGTCTCATTGTCTCATAGCATCTGCCGAAGTTGATGACTGTCTCAGTTGCCTGCCTGATGCCTGTCTTCCCCATGACAATGCCAGAGCCAAGGCCATGGCCTGGTGCATTCCATCTTCCCACTTAATGCAGTGACTGGTGTGGAACTGGTGCTTAGTAAATCATGACTGAAGGTCTGGAAAGAAGGACACAACCTAGATAGTGTGGAAGGGCTCTCTGAGAAAGAGACTGGGTGGTTTTTCTTTTCGTATTTTTTATTGTGGTAAAATATACATAACACAGAATTTATCATCTTAACCATTTTTAAGTTCAGTGGCATTAAGCACATTCACATTGTTGTGCAGCCATTACCACCATGTGTCTCTATCTTTTTTCATCTTGCAAACCTGAAACTCTGTCCCCACTAAACACTAACTCCCCATTCCCTCCTCTTCTGGCACCCACCATTCTACTTTGTGTCTCTAGGAATGTGACTATACTAGTACCTCATATAGGTGGAGTCATACAGTATTTTCCTTTTTTTACTGGCTTATATCGCTCAGCATAATGTCCTCAAGGTTCATCCAAGTTGTAGCATGTGCAGAATTGTCTTCCTTTTGAAGGCTCAGTAATACCCATTGTGTGGATAGACCACATGTGCTCATCCATTCATCTGTCATGGACACTTGGGTTGCTCCCACCCCTTAGCTCCTGTGAATAATACTGCTACGAATATGGGCATACAATTATCTCTGTGAGATTCTGGTTTCAATTCTTTTGAGTATTTACCCAGAAGAGAAATTGCCAGGTCATACAGTAATTCTGTTTAATTTTTTTAGAAAACACCATACTGTTTTCCGCAGCAGAACAGTGCCATCTTACTATAAAGTGTATCATTTTATAGTACATGTATCATATAAAATGTATCGGGATTTCAACTTCTCCACATCTTCATCAACCCTTGTTATTTCCTGTTTTCTTGTTAACAGGCACCCAGATGGGTGTAAAGTGGAGGAGATGACATCTTAGCAGAGACCAGGAGATGAGAAGAGATGCGGAGTGTCTCAGGAAGAAGGAATGTGAGCAGGCACTTACTGTGCTGGAGGGTTGAGGACAGTGTGGATGGAGCCCAGGGAGGAAGGGAGTGGCAATGGGGACAGGGCCCAGACTGTCCAGAGCCCTGCAGGCCATGGTGAAAAGTCCAGATTTTGTAATAAGAAGCCACTGGAGAGCTTGAAGTTGAGGAGTGGCATTGTTTGGTTTCCATTTTTAAAAGATCTTGCTGGCTGTTGGGTCATGTTGCAGTTATCCACTGCTGTATAACAAAGTGCTCCAAAACATAGGGACTTCAATTAGCTGTTTTAGTTTGCTCACAATTTTGTGGGTCAGGAATTTGGAGAGGGCTCAACAGAACGGTTCTTCTTGACTCCACATGATGGCCATTGGGGAGCTGGAGCCGGGAGAGCCGCCTCTGAGAAGCTTCTTCGTCACTTATCTGGTGCTTCTTGGCCATGCTCTCCTCCAGGGTGTGTCTCATTCTCCATGGCTTCTCCACGTGGCCTGAGCTGCATGCAGCCTGGTGCGCTCAGGGGAGTCTCACTTCCTACACGGCAAAAATGGAAGTGGTCAGTCCAGTTAAGAGCTATGTCCAGAACTGGCACAGCATTGCCTCTGTCATAGTCTATCTGTCAGAGCAGTCACAGGGCCTAGTGGATTCAGAGAGGTGGAGAAAAAGATTTCACTCTTCATGGATGGGGTGGGGGTGCTGCAGAGAAGCACGTGGAATAGGAGGTGGTGTCTCGGCCACTTTGGAAATGGTGGTCTCCCCCACCCAGGTGATGAATGATGGAAGTGTGGGAGTGAAGGGGGAGGAACAGGGTGGAATTATTTGGGGGAGAGCGGGGATGCTGGGTACAGGCTGGTGCCCATGGAAATGAGAAGAGGATGCATTGGAGATATGGGAGGCAGTGCCAACAGGATTTGGGAATTTAATAGATGGTAGAGAGGGAGGGAAACAAGTTAAAAAAGACTCCCAAGGTTCTGGCTTGAGTTACTGTATCAACCATGCCTTTTATTTTCTGACACTTTGACATCTGGAGCCTTACTGATTCTGGAGGGACTACCCTTCCCAGGGTTATCCAGTTCCTAGAGATAGCAAATAACCCACCCAGGGGCACACCTCTCCTATCTCCCATGCAAACTACCTAACTCAGAGCCCACTCTGCCAACTGCCTCCTCTACGAGGCGCCCACATGACTCACCTGTCCTGATCACCAGGGCCAGAGACCAAGAACAGGGGACAGCCCCTCTACCCCAGAGCCCGCTGAAATGACTCAACTAGGTCACCCTAAGCCTACGTGCCCTGCCTCACCTGTTCCTTCCCACGGAAGCCATGCTTCCCTGTGCAGCCCTCATAGCATGGCACGCCCTCCTTCTTGAGAACTGTGAGTAACAAACTAACTTTTCAATGGCAGTCATCTCCTGATCTATTGGCCTTACCATACCTATGTAATAAAAGACCTACCTTTTGAAATAGTCAGTGAGATGAAGACACCCTGGGTATGTGTGTCTGGTGAGGGCAGCCTCCTCTCTTGGCCAACCAGCTACTTTCTTTGGCTTTCTGAGCTGGAAGGGACAGGGCAGAGAGAGCCCAGGCTGTGGGGCTGAGCCCGCCCATCTCCTCCCACCTGCCCCTGGCCATTTCCCTGGTGGGAGAGTTCCCAGGTGAACCAAGTGAGTGACAATAGTCAACCCCCTTCTCGAACAGGTGGAACAGCTGACACTCAAAGGATGGAGAAGGTGTGAATCTGTTATTTTTCTTAATTAAAAAGAAGATATGTTCCCGTAGTTACATCTAAATTAGAAAGCATATCACAAGAAACTGTACATATCCCACATTCTCCCATTTCTAACATAATGATTATTGTCCTTTCTCCAGGATTCACCTTTTCATTTATTTGTTCAATGGACATTTCCACTTTCCCCCACCACATGAGCAACCTACCTGGCCAGATGCAAGCACTGGCCATGGGCAGGGTTGGGTGGTGGTCTTTCAACCTGACACCCCACTGGGATGTTTCTTATGTTGCCAGTGGTCTCCTGGCTGGCGGTTTTGTCTGGCTGAACGCTGTCATGAATGAAGTGGGGTGGGCTCCCCTGCAGCTGTTGAGTGCAATGGGTTGGCCACAGCCATGAGAGGGAAGTCTGGAAATGAGGCCAGGTCCAACATGCCATGAGTGAACAAATGGCCGTGTCCAGGCTGCCAGAGCTGAGGGAGGGAGGCTGAGGGTGCAGCCAAGTCTAGGAGCCAAGTCACTGTGGTGGCCGAGCTGGTGAGTGTGCACCAGGATGCAGGAGCCCTTCCAGGTCAGCCTGGGGCCAGCTGCTCTGAGTTATATTTAGCCTGTGCTGCCGGGGACAGCAGGGGGACCGGGGCACCCCAGGCCCTTGCATCATACACTACCTAAGTGTCTCTGGCACTGGGCATGTAGATAGCTTTCCATTTTGAGGGCATTATTTTAAGATGTTTCAATTAATAAAGAAAAGAGGAAGGGGAAGCTGTTACAGAATAAAGGAGAATGAGAAGACATACAGCAACCAA
The DNA here is from genome assembly GCF_000001405.40 of Homo sapiens. Taxonomy (NCBI): domain Eukaryota; kingdom Metazoa; phylum Chordata; class Mammalia; order Primates; family Hominidae; genus Homo; species Homo sapiens. The sequence goes on from NC_000003.12 coordinate 127,168,795, forward strand.
TGTAATACCTCGATCTGCTTTCCGATTCCAACAAACCAACTCTAAAAACATAGCTAAAGGCATCTGAGGAGATTTGAACATGGGCTGAGAATTAAAAGATATTAAAGAATTATGAATGTGTTGGGTGCAATGATACTGTGATTAGATTTTTAAAGTCCTTATGTGCTAGAGACACAAATGGAAGTATTTATGGATAAAATGATACGATGATGTCTGGGATTTGCCTTAAAATACTAATAATATAGGCTGTGAGCTTTTAACTGTTGAAGCTGGGGGGTGGCACATGGTTCATTATCCTATTTGCTCTACTTTTGTGTAGATTTGACATTTTCCATAATAAAATACTAAAAAGTGCTTCAACCAATATATTCTCATTCTTGGCTTTTTTTGTTCCTTCTATTGCATTGTTTCCTGAGGATGAATTCCCAGGGGTGGGATCACTGGGGGCAGGGGCTTCAGTGTGTTTTTTCTGGCTCTGCATGTGCTGTCAAGTTGCTCTTCCGTAGGACAGGGTGGATTTATGCTGCTGTGTGCATGGGGGCCCTGGAACCAACCGTTGCTGGGCAGCCTTGCTGGCACTTATTTCAGTTTTCGACTTTCACTAATTCAGGTGGAAAATTGCCATTGTTTTCATTATTTCATTTCCAGGTCTTTGATTACAAGAGTAGGTGAAATGTTTGCCCTGGCTGGCCACTAGCTGCATTTCTCCCCTAGCCCTACCCACATTTAACTAAGAGAATTTTTGTTTGCAGAAATATTTGTAACCTACTGATATAGTTTAGGTGTTTGTCCCTCCAAATCTCATGTTGAAGTGTGACCTCCAGTGTTGGAGGTGGGGCCTGGAGGGGATTGTTTTGGTCATGGGGGTGGATCCTTTCTGGATGGCTTGGTGCCCTCCTCCAGTAATGAGTGAGTTCTTGCTCTATTAGTTCACACAAGACCTGCTTGTTAAAAAGAGTCTGCCACCTCTTCTCCTTTCCTCCTCTCTTGCCATGTGATTTCTATACATGCCGGCTCCCTTTCGCCTTCTGCCATGAGTGGAAGCAGCCCGAGGCCTCGCCAGAAGCAGATGCTGGCACCATGCTTCCTGTACAGCGTGCAGAACCATAAGCCAAACAAACCTCTTTTCTTTATCAATTACCCAGCCTCAGGTATTCCTTTACAGCAATGCAAATAGACTAAGACAGCTGTGGATGACATGGACCCTCTGCCCTTTTGATGCAAATGTTTCCCAATCATTTTAGTTTCTAATGTCCAGAAAGTTTTTATGTTTACATTATTAAACCCATCTCTTCTTTAATTTCTTCAATTCCAAGACAGGCAGGTGTTAATACTTCCATATATCTGCCAAAGCATCAACTGTGTTTCCACTAGGTTTTCTATGATTGGATTTCTTATAGTCAAATCTTTATCTAAGTTTAAATGAGTCTATGATGCAAAATATACATGCTTCTTTTTTCTTTTCAGAATTGATCTCCAGCTATCTCAGCATCATTTTGTAAATTATTTTCCCCTTCGCCGTTATTTAGTCTTGAGTATTTGTGAATGATTAACTCCTCATGTATCTGACAGGGCTCTATCTCAAGGCTCTGAATTCTCTTCTCCAGCCTCATGTCTGTCTCTGTGGCAGCACCACATGTTGCTTTAGTCACTGTTACTTTAGAGCGTGCCCTGACACCTGGCCATCCTGGAGTCTGAGCTCAGTCGCCTCAGACTCCAACACAACCCTCTTACCTTCCCACGCTTCCCCCAAGGCTCTGGACCTGGTGGAAGGAAACTCGGGTCTGAATTCCAGTTTTTCCATGAGCTGCATGTGTATGGGCAAATCCCTTAGTCTCTCTGAGGCTCAGAGCAATTATATGACTTGTCAGCCAGGTGAAATGCCTGGTCTAACAGGTGCTCCGTACATACCTGCACTTTGGGATTTTAAAACTGTCCTTGGAGGTAACAAAGCCTGCAACTCAGGTGGGCTTGGGGGGAGGTGGGGCATCTTCTTCAGGGTGAGATTGGTTGTCATCCCTCTTGGCAAATCCTGGGGATGTTCCGATGAGGGGTCCCTGCCTGCCAGGGTCTGGGTCTGGCTTGGGTGAGGGGCACTGAGGCACCTCATCCCCGTGCGAGCCATAGCGGCTCACAGCTCTGTTTCCATGGTTACTGCCTGGGGATGAGATCACCTTCCAGCTCACAGGCCTGGGAGCACCAGGAATTCTGCCAAGAAGGCCCTCTGGTGTGCGGCAGTTAGTGTGGCTGGCCATGGGGTGGGGGTGGCGTGGGCTGGATGTCCCTCCTGGACAGCAGGGGTGGGGCCACAGGGCACAGGTGGGAGTGTCATGAACCTGAGCCAGAGAGGCAAGCTTGTCCAGCCAGGACCATGTAGCGTGTCAGTTCTGGTCCTCCATGAAGCAGACACTGAGATGGAATGAGGTGTGCAGGAGATTTATTGAGGGAAACACCATTGGGGAACATAGGGAAAGGAGGTGGGGCAGGTGGGGGAGTCTCAGATCAGGACTCAGGGACCTGAGAAAGGGAGGAGGGGACAGGAAGAGCCCCAGGCTGCGGTACAGCTCTGAGAGAGCCTTGGCCACACTCCGCAGAAGGCCCCAGCGTTCAGACTGCCCAGGGAGGAGCTCCTTTCTCCAGGATTCATCTTTTCATTTATTTGTTCAATGCCCCAGCACCCACTGGCCATGCTTGGTCCTCAGCCTCTGTGAAAAGCTGCCGTGGACCTTGAAGGCACAGGAGCTGGGGGCTGTCGGTCAACCACCTCCTCCCAGCAGGCTCTCTCCTGGAATGAGCACCAGCAACCTACCCCTTGGAGCCATGTCTCACTCACTGCATGGCCTTCTGGAGTCCTCAGCCTCCCCTTCGGTGCTAATGAGGACTGGGGGGTGTGTTGGCCTCAGAGTCACCTCATGCAGGCAGAGAAGCAGCAGCATGTCAAGCCCAGGGAGGACATCACCCCTTTCCTAAGCTTCACCTCCTGGTACCAAGGCTCATAGCCCCAATCCTATTCAGGGGAGATGCTGGTGGCCACACTGAGGTATCCCCAGGAAAGGGCATGGAGGGAGGGCCCTGGGGCTGCGCCAGGGAGGCATAGGCCATGCTCTGGGAGAAGGGGCTCTGCACACTCAATGTCTGCCAGTGGAAGATGAGACCTCAAGCCGTGTGTCCATGTGGAGGGATTTTGGGGGAGACACTGGGGCCCAAGGAAGTCTCCTGGAGTCCTGGACTGAGGGCTTGGCTGTGGATGATGGGGAAATTTGGAGAGAGGAGGCATGAAGCAGGACCATGAGAAAGGGGGGCTGTGTGAGCAGAAGGTGAACGCGGGGTATGGGGAGGGAGAGCAGAGGGAGAAGTTGGACATAGGGCACTCGGAAGGTGGAGGGTGCTCTGGAATGCTCCAGAGGAATCTGGGGAGACCTCTCCTGTTCATGCCCACTGTGGGCTGAGTGCATAGAATAAAAACAGAGCTCCTCTCATGAGCCAGCCACCCCCCTGGCCTCTCACTCTCCCTGGATGCCCCAGCCCCTTTGCCCCCGACACATGGGCCTCTCTCTCTGGGACTGCTCAGAGCCTCCACACTGCCCTTCTATGGACAGAACACTTTTCCCATGCAGCTCCTGCTCATCCTTTAGGTTTCAGCCCATGTCCCCTCCTCGCGGCCTCAACCCAAGCTGTCTGCTGTGTGTTGCCCTCTGCTGTGCGTGGCCCTGCCTGATTTTCTTTGTCACACTGGCCACGACCTCCAAGTGTCTTGGTAGTGTTTTTGTTTACCACTTCCTCTCCCAACAGGTTTGTCACTTCCAAGGTGACTTTGTCTACCTTGTTCATGACTGTAACCCCAGCTCCTAGAGCACACCCAGCACATAGCAGATGCTTGAAAGAAATTTGTCAAATGACTGAATCCAGGCGCCTTTAAATTCTTACCCATGGGAGTGGGGGCATTGTATCACCACACTTGATTTTCAGGGAGGAGGCAGAGGTGAAAAGAGAGTCACCCGTCCATGGCGACTCCACGGGTGAGGGGCTGTGGCCGCTCCTGAGTTGGTTTCCTGCTTCCTTCCTGAGTGGCCTTGCACAGGCCATCCACCCTCTCTGGGCCCCAATGTGGGCTGTGTGAGGAGTGGGCGAGAAAACATCCACGGAGATGTCCTGCTTCAGGCCAGACACCTGTGAGCCCCTGTTCCAGGCCACTGACACACAGATATCTGGTTCTGAGTGGCTCTTACGTGTGTCAACATTGCCCTTCTAACAGCCCTGCTGGAGTGGGGGAGGCCTGAGCTTGGAAGAGCCTCTGAAGGGAGGGCTGATGTGTGAGGGATTTATGGACGCTGCTCGAAATGAAAAGCAATTCAATTCAATCCCAGGGTCGTAAGAGACTTCCCGGAGCCTCACTAAGTGGGTCTGGAGCAGTGATCAGCGTTGCAAATCTATTAGCTGTGCTCGGCATCTGGGGCCGCCGCATGCATGAGTCATCGGGGTGGGAAGCCAGGAAGCTGCATCGTCCGGCAGGCCACTCATCAATTAAACTCCTCTCCGTTTAATTAAGACATAAAACATCACCCTGTGTGTCTGCCAGAGGGGCCAGACACCCAGGGCTGTGGCAGCCCCACAGGCAACCCCCCTGCCACCCAGACCCAGACATCCACCCGGCTGTGGGGCCACCGAGGAGTCTTTCTGTCCATTTCCCTGCCCAGGACTCGGCATCCCCAGTGGAGGCCCCTCTGCTTGTATGCTGCTGGGGTGACTTGCAGCTCACTCCTCTGTTCCTCTGCCACCCTGGACAGGACGGCAGAGTGGTCAGGTGTGCCTCTGGGGTCAGGCTGCCTGTGATCAGGCTACTTAGCCATGTAACTTTGGCCCAGTTCTGAGTCCCTCTCTCTGTGCCTCAGTTTCTCCAGCTGCACATAGAAGGATGGGACTAGTATCATCAGTGCAGGGTTAATTTGAGGATTAAGTGAGTTAAGGTGCACAGAGCACTGGGGACAGAGCCCAGGCTGTGGACAGCATCTCTGCACTCACTGCTGAAATGCCTCCTCCCAACCTTCCCTGTCTCTGCTGCCAGTCCTTTGACAGTCAGCCCCAGTGGACCCTGTGCTTGTGCTTCCAGGACCTCTGGGACACATGGGGCTGGATGCTGGGCAGCCCTGCTAGCTCACCTCCTGCACCAGGAGTTCTGAGGAATAGGCCTGGCTCTACTCGCCCCCCATGTCTCTGGTGCCCAGCACAAGCCCTCACGTAAGTGCGAGCCAGCAGGTTTCCCAGGTGAATGGATGACATGAATAATTCCTTCTTCGACTCTTCTGGGCCCCAGAGAATAAGATGAAGGTGGATGATGTGTTAGAAAATTGCCATCCCTGGCATCAGGCTGATCCAGTCAAAATTCCAGCTCCTTTGTGTAACGTCCTTCCCATCTCTCTACCTCAGCATTCCCATCTGCAAGTTGGGTGCTGCACTGCACCTCTGCTGCTGGCTCAGTATCCATTCCTTCCTTCGTCCTTAGTAACAAACATTGTTTTGCAGGAGGAGCAGTAGTTGTCTCAGCAAAGGTAAGAAGAATCCCTTTGCCAGTCTTCCTTGCAACTGGGGGCAGCCTAGAACTCCCCTGGGACCCCACTAAGCCAATGGAATGTCCGTGGGGTCTTCAGGGGGCTCTGGGAAGTCAAGCCTGGCACTGGATCCTCCTTCCTCACTCACGGCCTTGAATTTGGCAACTAGAGCCAGCCTGCTGAGAGCAGAGCTAGAGGCAGCCCCTGCCTGCCTCCAGACCCCTCACTGGACGCTGCATGACCACAAGAGGCTGAAGACTCTGTGAATTGGGGTCTTCTGTTTCTTAGAGCTGAGGGCATCCCACACAAACCCAGCAATGTCACCCCCACCAGGAGCACACAGAGTGCCTACTCTGGTGCCCTGCACGGAGCAGGTGCTGGATAAATGTGTGTCCACTCGTGCCCAGCCTGGCTCACCATCCTGCTGGCCTGCACAGGTGCAAGAGAAGCAGGTGAGGCTCCATGCTGTCAGCACATGCTGCGGAACCTCTAACTGCTGCAGCCTGCCCACCAGGGCCAGCCCAGAAACATCTAGTGTGCAGTAGCATGGGAGAGAGAGCCCCAGAGAGGGAGGGTGAGGTGCTCTGTGGGCCCAGCAGCAGTCACTGGGGGTCAACCAGGGAAAGTTTGGCCTTGAGCTGGCCTGGCAGATGGCATGGCTTTGTCATGAGAAAATTCAGGGGAAGGGCAGTCCAGGAAGAAGGTCTGCAGGTAGGAAAGCCCAAGGCAGGGCTGCATACCATCCCCAGCACATGGGGCTATGGAGGGCCCATGGGAGGGCACCTTGACAGAGCAGGTTAGGGTGGGAGCAACCGGATGGTGGGCTGCATTCTGGCTTCATTCTGTCAAATGGCATCCCCACACTTCCGCCATCTGTGTGTTTTGTCAGGGTGTCATACCACCTACGCTATTGTTTACTTCATACACACTTTCAATTCAGTTCCCTTTTATAAACCTAAACAAATGTATCTATGGATCCCGACAAGAAAGCGGAAAGGCAGTACCACTTGCCATCGGAGGTACCTGAGAACACAAGCACAATGAGCGCCTGAAACAGCCAGCGAGCCAACTTGCGATTCTGCCTGCCAAGGCTCTGGCCTGACGCCGGTTTGCTCTCTATTCAAAAGGGAGATTCACACATGTTGGAGAGGTGCGAAAGACAGGCTAGAACAAGCAGAGACTTTCTGAGTGCTGGAGTGAGCAGGCTGGGAAGAGCACTGGACAGGACTCAGCACACTGATGACATGAGGCCTGATTTAATGCAGGGCAAATGTGCATCCCACGCAGAACCTATGAGCAAGAAAATATCATCGGAGAATGGGTTACTGGGGCAGACAGGGTTTGATCCACGGACGGTAAATGAAGATACAAGATTTTGTTGTTGTTGTTTATAGAGTTAGGGTCTGGCTCTGTCACCCAGGCTGGGGTGCAGTGGCATGATTATAGCTCGCTGCAGCCTCTACCTCTGGGGCTCAAGCGATCCTCCCACCTCAGCCTCCTGAGTACCTAGGACTATTGGTTTGTGCAACCACGCCTAGCTAACTAAAAAGTATTTTAGCGATGGGGTCTCATTCTGTTGCTCAGGCTGGTCTTGAATTCCTAGCCTCAAGCAATCTTCCTCCCTTAGCCTCCTGAGTCACTGGAGTTATAGGTATAAGGCACTGCATCCGGGAGAAGGTTCTTCTAAAAGGGAGAGGATGCTGGGGGGAGAACAGGAAGGGGTGAGAGTCAGGGCAGACCCCCCAAGGTATCTGTGTCCTTCTGCCACCTCGAAGGTGGGCTCTCCTTGCTAGCTGAGTGCAGATGGCCTTCAAGGTCTGCTCTTGCTAGAATTCTCTGTCTCCCCCAGTGGGAACTATTCAGGGTCATGGAAATGGAGTCTGAGGGGGTAAGAGAACTGCCTGACCCCAGAGCTTCTGACCCTCAGATCATGTCCATAGAAACTACTGCCCCCCAGCACCAATGGCTCTCCCAGTCTTTCCAAGGAGCATCAGGAGGTGCTTCTAGGATGAAGAGAGACAAAGGGTAGATTGGAGGGGCTGCAGCCCTGTGAGCTTAAGGATACCAGCCCCATGAAAAATCCTAGAATAAACAGTTACATGCACGGTTTGAAGCCAAAAGAGCCAACCACCAGGAGTTGACAGGGGCCCACTAAGAAACATTTTGATGGAAGACCGATATCATGTGCCACAAGTAGATGGTGATCAGATAAACACGAGGAGGATGAAACAATGTCATCCACTACATATCTACCCTGGTTGCTATCTGCCTCCACTTACTGCACTTTTATGAGGCTTAAAGGAGTTTTCTTCAACGCAAAGAAAAGAGACACTTCAGAGCGTATTAGTCTATTCTCATGCCGCTAATAAAGACATACCTGAGACTGCATAATTTATAAGGGAAAGAGGTTTAATTGACTCACAGTTCTGCAGGGCTGGGGAGGCCTCAGGAAACTTACGATGGCAGAAGGGGAAGCAAACACATCCTTCTTCACATGGTGGCAGCAAGGAGAAGTGCAGAGTGCAGGCAGGAAAAGCCCCTTATAAAACCATCAGAGCTCGTGAGAACTCACTCACTATCATGAAAGCAGGATGGGAAAACTACCCCCACGATTCAATTACCTCCCACTGGGTCCCTCCCATGACACGTGGGGATTATGTGAACTATAGTTCATGATGAGATTTGGGTGGGGACACAGCCAAACCATATCACAGGGTAACAGCTGACCTCACTCGAGATTCTTACGGGCAATCAAGAACAGAACAGCACTCTCAGTTATGACTGTTTTTATGAATATTTTTTTAACATTTGTTGGTAAATTCTGGCAAATGCAATAACACAGGAAACTGAAATGGGAGGTAGGACTCTTGTAAACAGCCACGTTTATCTTAGTTTAGTATACTTACATCCCTCTAAAAAATAGAAAACTAATTACAGTGAAGGGACTTCTGTAGGTGGCTGAATATAAGATAAATATATGCAAGTAAATAGCTTTCCTATAAATACAGCAGCCAGTTAAAAACTGTGACAGGCACAGAGATGTGCTGCTCAAATCCCCTTCATAGAGGGACTTCTTGCTCCACCTGCTGGGAATGTAGTCAGCAGCCTTCAGATGCCAGTCTTTTCAGGGACAGCCTCAACGGGAGATGGACAGCCTCAACAGGAGATGGCCACCCTGACCTTCCCAAGGGTGGCCTTCCCAAGGCTGTACACATCCAGTGACTGAGGGAAGCAAGGATGAAACCCCAACTGGACACCTCCAACAGGGTGTTTTAGTTCCTGGGATCCTCATGGGGTCAACTAAGGTCATCAGGCCTGCCTGGCCCATGAGCTCTCTTTTTTTTTTTTTTTTTTTGAGACGGAGTCTCGCTCTGTGGCCCAGGCGGGAGTGCAGTGGCGCAATCTCGGCTCACTGCAAGCTCCGCCTCCCGGGTTCACGCCATTCTCCTGCCTCAGCCTCCCGAGTAGCTGGGACTACAGGCGCCCACCATCACGCCCGGCTAATTTTTTTGTATTTTTAGTAGAGACGGGGTTTCACCATGTTAGCCAGGATGGTCTCGATCTCCTGACCTCGTGATCCGCCCGCCTCGGCCTCCCAAAGTGCTGGGATTACAAGCGTGAGCCACCGCGCCCAGCCCCATGAGCTCTCTTGAACTTGACCTTGACCTCTGTCTGTCCAGTCCTGCTTCCTTCTCCTCTCCCCCATAGCATTGATTCCAAGAGTCAGCTGCCTGGAGAACCCAACATAGAATAATAATGTTTTGGGAAAAATGTCCCCTTAACAATAGCAACAGAAAGTATAAAATAGCCAACAATGAAATATTAAATGAATTTCATAAAGAAAATTAAAACCAGGGGAGAGAGTCCTGCTTCAAGACAATAGGCCATCAAATGCTACAGTTGCCCTGTGATGCTTAATTTTGGTGTCAACATGACTGGGATTAGGGATACCAAGGTATCTGGTAAAGTGTTATATCTTATTTTTGGGTATATCTGTGAGGGTGTTTCCAGAAGAGATAAGCATTTGAATCAGTGAACTGAGAAAGGAAGATCCACCCTCAACAATGCTAGCAGGTACCATCCCATCCTTTGAGTGCATGGATAGATCAAAAAGACAAAGGAAAGGCAGATTCACTCTTTCTCTGTCTCTCCTTGAGCAGAGAAATCCATCTTCTTCTGCCCTCAAGCAATGTAACTCCAAGTTGTCAGGCCTTGGACTCAGACTAAATTATACCATGTCTTCCCTGGTTCTCCAGCTTGCAGATGGCATATCATGGACCTCTGAACCTCTATAATTGTGTGAGCCAATTCTCACAGTAAATCTTCTATCTATCTATCTATCTATCTATCTATCTATCTATCTATCATTTATCTCTCTATCCATCCATCCTGTTGGTTCTGTTTCTCTGGAGATCCTCGACCTTTGCTAAACCCTGGCCTGTGACATACCCCTCTCTGCACTAAATCCATACCAATAAGAAAAAATATTCAACAATTTAACAGAAAATTAACCATCCCACTTGTAAATAAGAAGGGGACTTCTTGGTAGACTTGAAACTGGGAGGAGTCCCCAAAAATGCACAGAATAGATGGGATTATATGGGAGAAAAAACTGCTGGCCGGACAAAGTAATGTCTGCAAATGTCAAATCAGCAAATGTCTAGAGATGCCCATGCTGTCTTCAACAAAGGGAGGAGCCCCTCCAGAGAGAGTTAACACATGAATCTTCAGGAATTTCTAAAAGCTATCGTTAAAACAAACAAACACTACACAATTACATTCAGAAAGATAAAGACTACTACTTCATCCATAAAACAAAGATGGGGGTTATGAAACAGAACTAAATAGAGATGGTGGAAATGAAATATATAACATTCCATGTAAAAGATTAATAGATTGGACACATTGCAGAACAATGCAGCACAAAGGAATAAATAGCTGGAGAGTATGGAAAAATGGGACATTGAGGTTTCAGGGACGTTCAATATCTATCTAGTTGGGATTCCAGAATGGATTAAATAAGAAGAAATATTTTCAAAAAGTAAAACAGAACCTCTAGAACTAAAAAATAAATTAATCTTCAAATCGAAGGCACACACTGAGCAAATCACCGTAAGACAAAAAACTGGCCACACTATGCTCACATTCCATTACACCAAGGATAAAGAATCAACCCTAATAGTTACCAATAAAGAATGTGGGCCATATATAAAAGAATAGTCAGATGAAATCAGCAAAATGAAGGCAAGAAGATAATAAAACAGCATCTTTAAAGTGCTGAGGCAAAATAACTCTGGAGTTGGAATTCTATACCCAGCCACACTGTCAACAAGGACTGATAATAAGATGAAGTATTGGAATATTAAGGTATTTGTATCAGTTTATCACCCTCACAGATCTTCACTGAAAAAATTAATAAAGGAAGTTATCCAGTAATTACAAAAATACAGTAGGAAGCTGTGGAAGCCAAGAAGCAGTGGCAGGCAGAGACACACATGGAAGGCATTAAGCTTGCAGGCGTACTGATTAAAAGTAGTCTGGGATAGGCGAGAAGGGCAGAGAGGGTAAGAAGATGCCAAGAAACTGGCCTCTGCTGAGGAAGAATGACATGGATTCACTCACACAGTAAAGGGTAGCAAATGCAAATTGATTAAATATATCTGTGGAAAGACAGAGACTGGCCTGTAAATATTAACAAAAGAAGGAGGGTATATTAGTAGCCACATAATCTAAAATAAAATTTAAGGAAATGTCATTATAAAGAGTCAAAAACAATGGATCAATCATGATTCAGAAGGAAACACTCGAAGGATTAAGAGAAGAGCAATGAATGAAAGTCCTACTTGCAGGGATACTGGTGTTAGAGTTGGTAGCTAGGCAGACATGAGCAGGGAAGGAGAGGGCTCCCCCAGCAGGAATATCAGGCCACCATCAGGTGATGGTCAGGTGGTTGTTAAACTGTCTCTCTAAAATAATAATTGGTTGCACCAGGGAAAGGCAGTCTCCCAGTAGATAGAAAACACCTGGAGCTGGTAATCAGCAGCTTTCCGATAAGATCTCAGGAGTTGGGTGAGTGGGCTCAAGCATGTGCACTAAGAGGCAAAATGGAGTTTAACTGGTACATGACCCTCCTCTAGGAACACTCAACTGGTAAGGGAAAAACACCTCAGATGAGCATGTGCATAACTTCAGTAAATACACTGTGCAACCCCTCCCAAGTGGGCCTCTCTAAGCCCACCCCAAGGGAAGAATCAGGGGAGAAGAAACACAAACCCCAAGTCATGCCAGTGTATAAAACCCCACAGCAAAGGTCGGACGAGGCACCTGAATCTCAAGTTGCCACCCTGGCCCTCTTCCAAGTGTACTTTACTTTTTTTTGGTCCTGCTCTAAAATTTTTTAATAAATTCTCAGTCCTGCTTAAAAACTCACCTTGGTCTCTCACTCTGCCTTATGCCCCTCTGACGAATTCTCTCCATCGAGGAGGCAAGAATTGAGTTGCTGCAGACCTGTATGGATTTGCCGCTGCTCATATTGGCAGGGCTAAAGGAACCAACAAGAGATGATGAGGTCCCCAGGGCCCTGCCGAGGTCTGCAGAAGAGGGAGAGAGAGTGGGAGGTGTTCCAGGGCCCAGGGACACTTGCAGCTTTAGGAGAGGGACAGTTGATTAGGAATGCAGTTGCCACCAGCCCACAGGCCTGCAGGGAGGAATTGGGCGACAGAATCAAGAACCTGAGCCCACCCTCTATCCTGCTCTCTGATTTCCTGAAAGCCAGAGCGGGCAGGAGTGTGGCAGATGCAATCTACTGAGGGAAGCTGCTGGGGCTCCAAGCAGGGCAGAAAGGTAGGCCTGGAGGGGCAAGCAGGCGGTCATCACTGAGGGGTGCGTCTCATCCTGGTGAAAGGAATGATCACCAAGAAAATATAACAAGCATAACCATCAGTGTACTCAACAACAAACTTGAAAATACACAAAGCTCAAAAGATAGCACAAGGAGAAACAGCAATCTACATCACATGTTCACAAGTAGATCACACAGAAACAGTGAGAACATCAGAAACCTCTGTGATATAATCTAACCAGTACCAATTAAAACAGTAAAGCAGGATATTACCAACTAGACAGAATTCAGGTTTCCCATGATAACACTGGAGCTGGTCTGTAGGGGTAGGGAGGTGGGAGGGCCGCAGTCACTCAGCCAATGAAAGGATTCTGAGAGAAATCCTTTCTTTGGGGAGAAAGAATACAGGTGTTGCTTAACATTAGAATTTTAAGAATATGCATGTGTTAATAATTTAAAGGTAATGACCAGAGGCCGGGCATTGTGGCTCGCGCCTGTAATCCCAGCACTGGGGGGCTGAGGCAGGTGGATCACCTGAGGTCAGCAGTTCAAGACCAGCCTGGCGAACATGGTGAAACCTCCGTCTCTACAAAACATACAAAAATTAGCTGGGGATGATGGCAGGTGTCTGTAATCCCAGCTACTTAGGAGGATGAGGCAGGAGAATTGCTTGAACCCGGGAGGTGGAGGTTGCCGTGAGCTGAGATTGCGCCATTGCACTCCAGCCTGGGTGACAGAGTGACACTCCAGCTCAAAAATAAATAAGAAATAAATAAAGGTAATGACTATAAGAACAAAACTAAAAGATATAACTTTTAAAGAAGTAGAAGGGGAAATGGAACAAAAGAAATGAAGTAATCCAATGAATGTCAGAATGGGAGAAAAAGTAGTGACAAGCATAGTAAATGGGGAAAATAAATAAGGAGAAAAGACTCTGAATGGAGTATTAAAAGATTCTCAAATTGGATTAAAACATGAAATCCAGTTATAGTTTACAAGGGACACACCTAAAATGCAATAAAAGTGAAGCAAGAAAATGACAATAATATGAAAGGTACAGCAGACAAATGCTGACAAAAAGAAAGGTGTAACAAAGTTCTCTGGGAAAATATAATTGAAGGTAAAAGTATAAAACGACGAAGAAACATAGTTAATTTTGATAAAAGGCACTTTCCATTAAGAATAGATCACCTCTACTGGCCTAAAGAAGCAGCTTCCAAATGTGTGCATGAAAGCCAACCAGAAACACAGAAGATTTAATAGCATGCAGCTCAGAAAGCAACTGGCTGCTCAGAGAAACAAGGGAGACAAGACAAAAGGGTCCGAATAACACAGCGAAGCCCCTGAGGGCACACCAGTCTTTGCACACCCACACGAACTAGAGGCTCAGAGGGAAGTCAGGGCTTAAGGGTGTAACCCCCTCTCGAAAGTGGGGACAGGAACCCCACTGGAGAGAGCCCTGGTGCCAACCCCAGACCCAGGGCCAGGGTGACTGGCTCCTGGCCTCTGCCAGGCCCCACCCCGACGGCAAGGGCTGAGGCAGGTCCAGGTCCAGGTCCAGGTCCAGGTCCAGCTCCCCTCACCCCAGCTGCAGCTACAGTGGCCTGTGGGCTCCTGGGAGGGGTCTGCTCCCTCCCCGGGGGCCTTGGTAGCTGGGCTGCCCCCTGCCTTTGAGGTCCCCAACCCCCTCCACCCAACTGACTCCCACTCCCTTCAAACCCTCCTGCTGGGGTCATTGTTCCCTGACTTCTGACAAGTAGGTCAATTACACACCCTGCCCCTCTCCTGGCCAGCGGGCAACACAGTGCAGTGAGTACCTTTGTTTCTGGGATTAAACAGATGGCTGGATCGATCCCACCAGCTTCTCGCCTAAGGCAGCCCTGGAGAGGTGGACCTTTGACAGGGAACCTGATCCCCTGTCTCCCTGAGTCACACCTGGTCAAAGCCCCTCCCTCCTCTACTGCGCATGCCTCCCCAACCCTTGCCTGCCCCTGGGTGGTAAATCTGGGCCCCTTCATCTCTAGGGGAGGAGTCAGCATGGGTGGAGGCCATCACTGCTTGGAGCCCACAGCAGCCCCGGTGGCCCTCGCTGTCCTAGACCATGCAAGGCTGCCTTCTGGGCACAGCACCAAGGAGGGACATGCCAGGAACATCAGGCCTTTGAGGGTGACCAGCAGATTTTGTTAGGGGAGTCAGGGTGGGGATCCTGCTTGGCACAGGGTGAGAGGGTCAACCTGCCCTGGACAGAGGAGCACAGGCCTTCCCTGCTATGGCCCTTCTCCCTGCAGCCTGTCCTCAGCTCAGTTATGCTGCCCTGGCTGTCCCCTCACCACTGCCCCAGCCTGCCATTTGGTCTATGGACCCTGGGTCAATGTGTCAGGGTGCGCAGGGGGACACTTCTGCCAGGGTGGTCTCTGGGATCCCTTTTGTGTGCCCCAACAATGCATCAGAACGTGTTGATCTGCATATCCAGTGAAATGCCAGGTACATCAGGTTTTTCTACTTTACCAAACTCAGTGATTAAAGCCAACCTTCCATTCTTTTTTAAACCCTCCCCCTCCCTCTCCCCCTCCTCCACCTCCCCTCCCCTTCCTTTCTCTTTCAAGACAGTGTCTCACTCTGTCACCCAGGCTGGAGTGCAGTGGTGTGATCTCCGCTCACTGCAGCCTCAACATTCCTGGACTCAGATGATCCTCCCACCTCAGCCTCCTGAATGATGGGACTATAGGTGCACTACCACACCTGGCTTAAACCTTCATTTTCTTTGTCAGTGACAAGGAGACCCCACATCACCCACCTGCCTGGCCCCCATGGTGGACCTGTCTGTGGACTCGCTCTCTGCCTGGGCACTTCCCTTGTCATGGGGGTCTCCTGTGTCACTGATCACTGGTGGGGGCTCCTGCCACACACCTGCCCAGCCCCCTAGGGTTGACCTGCGGCCGCCCTTTGGCCATTATCTCCATATGGGCATCCCCCTCCAGCTGCCTCGGCACCTTCAGTTTGAGGTCCTCCAGCTTTTAGAACCTCGTGGGAAGTCAGCACCCAGCCGCCTTAGCCTCCAGGGTCTTTGCTTACCCCAGTCCTGTACTCCTCGGTCCTCCCAACTCAGCCCCACACTCAGGCAGCTTCTTAAACTGATAATGAGAGACAGCCCCGCACCTCCAACTGTGCTTCTGGATCCTGAAGTCTGAGTCACAGTGTAGGAACTCACCTCCGTTTTTAGGGTGAGAAAGCGGATGGCTGGCCCGTGCAGGTGGGTCCTTAGGCTCTTCCTACAGAGGATGCAGCGGCAGGGAGTCCCCCCACAATGGCCCCTCAGATCCACAGGTGGAGGGGGTGGCAGGAGTCTGAGAGCAGGGGAAGAGGACAGCTCTTTTTTGGGGTGAAAACTGACGCGTTGGTGGGGCGTCCTGCTGGGGCCACAGCAGGCCGGGCTCCGTGGGGAAGGACTGCTGTGGAGCCACTGGGCGCTAGTCCTTGCAGTGCCGTCCCCTCCTCCCCCGCACCGTCTGGATCTGTCATTCACCACTCACTCAGGGAGGTGTCCCCTCCTCTGTCGACCCCACTGTCCTCTACAACTCTTTATGGCTTCTGTCAAGCTTCGTCTTCTAGCCACTCCTTCTCCAGAGTGTTGTTCTCTAAGGGTAACTCCAGTGTGACATTTTACTTTTGAAAAGGCCTCAGGCTTGATAAAGACTTTTTACTTCTCCCAAGGAGGGCCACTGCATTTCCTTTTGGAGTCTGCTTCCCCCCAACTGCCCTTGTCTGAACAACAGCCAAAGACCCACCAGAAATCTGTTGACAGTGCACACATCCCTGACTCCCAGGCCTCAGGTAGGGGGACAGCCCAGCCGCCCTTTCCCACGGTTCCCCAGCGGCCAGGCTGAAGACCAGCTCTGCAGGGCCAGTGCTCTGCCTGGGACCCAGCCTGCAACTGGGATGGGACCCTTGTGGATGAGCCAGAGGGAGGAGTGGGGGTGGCTGTGGAGAATTCAACTAAACACTTACATTCATGCACACGCTTCTCTTTCCTTATAAATGCATTATGAGAAGCCTTGAACATGATGAAACGTAGAAAGAACAGTACAAAGAACTTGTTGCCCAAATTCCACAAGTATTAACATTTTACCATATTGCTTCCTCTCTCTCTCTCTATCTCTCTCTCCATGCACAATGCCAAACCACTGAAAACTAAATCAGAGATATTACAATACTCCGGAAGACAGCTCTAAAAAATAAGGATGTTCTTTCACATTCACATGTAGCATTATCTTAGCTGCAAAAAACGACCAATTCCATGATGTCATCCGATACTTATTTACTCCATATTCAAGTTCTCATAACTGTCCTCAGAATATATTTTACAGCTTTGTAAACACTAGGGCCAATCAATAATGATGCATTACAGTTGTTTGTTTTGTCTATTGACTATTTTATTAAAAAGTAAGATATACATTCTTGATCCTCTTTTAGATTATATAAATGTATTTCCTTTTACCTCCTTCTGCAGAACAGCATATAAACCTTAACAGTAAAGCTCAATGATTTTTTAATTGAAATATAATTCGCATACCACAAAATTTACCCTTTTAAAGTGTGCAATTCAGTCGTTTTCAGAATATTCACACATTTGTGCAACCATCACCATTATCTAATTCCAGAATATTTTCATCACTCCAAAAAAAATCCCATACTCATTAGCAGGCACACCCCCTTCCCCCTCCCCCAGCCCTTGGCAACCTCTAATTTACTTTCTGTTTCTATGAATTTGCCTATTCTGGACATTTCATATCAATGCTTGACTTCTTTCACTTAGTTTTTTTTTGTTGTTTGTTTTTGTTTTTGTTTTTTGAGCTGGAGTCTCAAACTGTGGCCCAGGCTGGAGTGCAGAGGCACAATCTTGGCTCACTGCAATCTCTGCCTCTCAGGCTCAAGCAATTGTCCTGCCTCAGCGTCCCGAGTAGCTGGGATCACAGGCGTGTGTCACCACACCCAGCTAATTTTTGTTTTTTCAGTAGACCAGACTGGTCTCAGACTCCTGACCTCAAATGATCGATCCACCTCAGCCTCCCAAAGTGCTGGGATTATAGGTGTGAGCTACCACACAAGCTTCACTTAGGATAATATTTATAAGTTTTGTCTATGTTGTAGCATGCCTCAGATTTCATTGGTTTGTATGGTGACATATGTCATGGTATGGATAGACCCCATTTTGTCTATTCACTTGTCAACTGATGAACATTTGGGTAGTTTCTGCTTTTTGGCTACTATGACTAATGCTGCTGTGAATATTCATGGACAAGGTTTTTGTGTGGACATGTGTTTTCTTTTGGATATAGACTTAGGAGTAGAAGTGCTGGGTTACATGGTAACTCTATTTAATTCTTTCAGGAAATGCCATACATTCCCACCAGCAAGGTATGAAGGTTCCACTTTCTCCACATCCTTGGCAGCACTAGTAATTGTCTTTTTATTATATCCATCCTAAGTGGGTGTGAAGTGGCATCTCATTGTGATTTTGATTTGCTGTCCCCCAAGGACTAATAATGTTGAGCATCTTTTCATGTGTTTATTGGCCATTTGTTTATGGTCCTTGGAGAAATGTCTATTCAAATATTTTGCCCATTATTAAACTGCGTTATTTGCCTTTCATTGTTGAGTTTTGAGGCTTTTAAAAAATAAATTCTAGATGCATGTCCTGTATCAAATATGATTTACAAGTATGTCCTTCCATTCTACAGATCTTTTAATTTTCTTGATAATGTCCCTTGAAGCGCAACAAAATTTAATTTGGTGAAGTCCAGTTTATCGATTTGATCTTCGCTTGCTTGTACTTTAGGTGTCATTTCTAGGAAACTGTTGCCTAATCCAAGTCATGAAGATTTACATCTACAAATTCTTCTGATAGTTTTAGGTTTCCCATGTAGGCCATTGATCCATTTTGAATTAATTTTTCTGGGTAGGCATGAGGTAGGGTCCAATTCCATTCTTGTGCATGTGTGTATCCAGTTAACCTGGCACCATTTGCTTAGAAGACAGTGCTTTCCCCCATCAAACAGTCCCAGCACCCTTGATGAAAATCAATTGACCATAAATGTATGGACTTCCTTCTAGATTTACAATTCTGTTCCATTGATCTATACGTCTCTCCTAGGTCAGCACCACATAGTCTTGATTACTGTAGCTTTGTAGTAAGTTTTGAAATTGGGAAATGAATCCTCTAATTTTGTTCTTCTTTTTCAAGATGGTTTTGTATATTCTGGGTCTCTTGCATTTCCATATGAATTTTAGGATCAGCTTGTCAATTTATGCAAAAAGCCAGCTGGGATTTTGACAGTTACATTGAACTTGTAGATCAGTTTAAAAAGTATTGCCATCTTAACAATATTGTCTTCTAATCTGTGAATATGGGATGTCTTTCCATTTATTCTGATCTTCTTTAATTTCTTTCAATGATATTTTGTAGTTTGCAGTTACAAGTCTGACACTTTTTTGCTAAATTTATTCTTAAATATTTCATTCCTTTTGATGGTATTGTACTTGGAATTATTTCTTAATTTTATGTTTTGATTTTTTTATTACTAGTAGGTAGAAATACAATATAATTTTTAATATTTTGATCTGCATCCTGCAATCTTACTGAACTCATTTATGAGCTCTCACAGGGTTTGTTTGTTTGTTTGGTTGGTTGGTTGGTTTTCCTGGTAGATTCCTTAGGATTTTCTATATACATAATCATGTCACCTGCAAATAGAGATAGTTTTACTTCTTCCTTTCCAATCTGGATCCTTTTATTTCTTCTTGCCTAATTTCTTTGGCTAGTACCTCCAGTACAGCCTTGAATAGAATTGGTAAGAGTAGACATTCTTGTCTTATTCTTTCTTTTAGGGAGAAAATATGGTGTCAGCTGTGAGGGTGCTGTTTGTTTGTTTTTATAGATGTCCTTTATCAAGTTGAGAAAGTTCCTTTGTATTCCTAGCTAGTTGGGTGTTTTATCATGAAAGGGTGTTGAATTTTTGTCAAATGATTTTTTCTGTATTTATGGAGATGATCATGTGTTTTTTGACCTGTATTCTATTAATAGAATATATTATACTAACTGATTTTCAAATGTTGAGCCAACTTTGCATTTTGGAGATAAATCCCACTTGATCTTGTATAATTCTGTGTATATGTTGTTGGACTTCATTTGCTAGTATTTTCTTGAGAATTTTCAAGAGTTACTGGTTTGCAGTTTTCTTGTGATGTTTTTATCTGGCTTTGGTATTAGGGTAATGCTGGTATCATAGGATGAGTTGGAAAATCTTCCCTTCTCTTCTATTTTTAGGAAGAATTTGAGGTTTGGTGTTAATTCTTTAAACACCTGGTAGAATTTACCAGTGAAAACTATCTGGTCCTGGGCTTTTCTTTGTTGAGAAGTTTTTGATCACTGATTTAATCTCTTTATTGCTATAAGTCTATTCAGATTTTCTGTTTCTTCATGGGTCAGTTTTGGTAGTTTGTGTCTTTCTAGAATTTTTTCTGTTTTTATCTAGCTGGTCTAATTGGTTGGTTTACCATTGTTCTTAGTATTTTCTTATAATCCTTTTTATTTCTGTAAGTTTGGTAGTAATGTCCCCTCTTTGATTCTTGATTTTAGTAATTTGAGTCTTCTCTCTTTTATTCTTGGTCAATCTGGCTTAAACATTTGTCAATTTTGTGGCCTTCTCCAAGAACTATGTTATGGTTTCACTGATTTCTCTCTATTGCTTTTCCATTTTCTATTTCATTTATTTCCACTTTAGTTTTTATTATTTACTTCCTTGTTCTTGCTCTGGGTTTGGTTTGCTCTTTTTCTAGATTCTTAAGGTTGAAGGTCAGGGTATTGATTTGAGCTTTCTTCTTTTTTTAACCTAGGCATTTACAGGTATAAATTCCCTCTGAACACTGCTTTCACTGTAACCCATATGTTTTGGTATGTTGCATATTTGTTTTCATTCATCTCAAAGTCTTTTCTAATTTTCCTTGTGATTTCTCATTGACCCATTGGCTATTTAGGAATGTGTTATTGATTATAATCTGTCTAGGTATGGATCTCTGAGTTTATCCTACTTGGAATTCATTAAAGTTCTTGGATGTGGGGATTGTTTTTCATCCGATTTGTCAAGTTTTCAGCCACTATTTTTAAAAATATTCTTTCTGCTCCTTTTTCTCTTTCCTCCCTCTCTAGGACTCCCATATGTCAATGAATTTTTATTGTAATTTTATCTATGTAAACATATGTAACTATCAAGATATAAATCACCCCTAGCCCCCAGAAGCTTCCCAGGGGACCCTTCCCATCAATCCACACCACCCCCTGGCCCTGGAGGGTGACTTCTAACATTTATCATTATAGATTATTGCTATAGATTATTTTTGCCTATTTTTGAATGTTATACAACTTAAACCACACAGAATGAACTCCTTTATGTCTGGCTTATTTAGCTCAACATTATGTTTGTGAGATTCATGTCTCTTATGACATGGAGCAAGAGAACATTTGTTTTTATTGCTGTGTATCATTCTGTTGTATGAACATGTCACACTTTTGTTGATGAATATTTGGGTTGTTCCCAATTTTACCTGTTATGAATAAAATTGCTATAAACACTCTTGTACATATATTTTGTGGACTCATGCAGTTATTTTTTCATATATATGTGTGTGTGTGTATATATATATATATATATATATATATATATAACACCTAGGAGTGTAAATTTTGGATTATAGGGTACTGCTAGTTTTCCAAAGTATTATTCCAATTTAAAGTCTCACTATCAACTTTTGAGGGTTCCAGTTCCTTCACATGCTTCTCAGCACTGAATAATGTCAATTTAAGTTTTTAAAAAAATTAATCAATTAATTAATTAGAGACAGGATCTCACTTGGTCACCCAGGCTGGAGTGCAGTGATTCTATCATAGCTCACCACAGCCTTGGCTCCCACCTCAGCCTCCTGAGTAGCTGTGACCACTGATTTGTGAGCTGTGACCATTGATTTGTAGAAGCTTTTAATATATTCTGTATATGTATCTTTGGTTGGATACATGTATTACAAACATCTTCCTCTGGTCTGTAGCTTGTCTTTTCATTCTCTTTTTGGTATCTTCTTATAAATATCTTTTAATTTTAATGGAGTAAAATTCATCAATCTTTTCCTTTATGGTTACCTTTTTTGTTCGTTATTTAAGTAACTTTTGCCTGTCTCAAAGTTA